>NC_000003.12:82434242-82737272 GCF_000001405.40 Homo sapiens | reverse complement strand
TCTTTCTGGTTCTTGGTATACCGAGTAAATTTCTATTGAAAACTGAACAAGTAGGTATTATGTCATGTGATTCTGGATATTATTTAAACCCTCTATTTTAGGTACATTGTTCTGACCTCACTCAGGCAGAGGAAGGGAGTACATTTAGTTACTGCCAGATAGGGGTTGAAGCCCAAGTTTCCTGTTTGGCCCCTAACTTGAGAAGAGGGAACTCCTCATCATCGCCGTGAAGAAGTGAGAGTTTCAGTTTCCCTGTAGCCCTCCACTGTTACCTCCCTGGAGAGAAGAGCCAGGAGTGCCTTGTTCCTGCTCCCCATGGGGCCTCCTCTGGCTCCAGTGAGAGGGAGACCTGTGCTAGGTGAGAGTGAAAGTTCAGGCTCCTACTCAGTCTTCTCTGACAGTGCTCTGGGGGGATGGGAGGTGAGGGAGTGCCTCTTTATTATCTAGCAAGGGTAGTAATCTATGCTCGCCACTCAGCTATTGGTGACTTTGGTAGAGATGGACCGTGTGTGTGTGTATGTGTGTGTGTGTCTGACTGCAACATAGTAGTTAATTTCTAAAAGTTTTCTGTTTGGTTAAGTTCCTCTTTTCTAATCCATTGGCTATAGAAAGCAGGCTTTTGTTGGGCTATTTTAACTGTGCCTGTTGGCTTTTTCAGATTACTGACTTCAGCACTCATTCTGGGTTAAGTGAGGCAAAAAGAAAAACCAGAGAACTCAAAAACATGTTAGTCTATGCCCAGAGGTCACACGTTGTTGCTCCTTCTTTCTTCCATCATTCAGTCTTAAGTTTATATTTTATATAACATCCAAGGTTTTTATACTAGCAGGCAGTTTTTTTTATTTTATTTTAATGACCAAATAGAGAAAAATATGTCTATTTTCCTAAGAGTGGGGTCAACAATGTTATTTTTTGGTAACAGTCACAGCTACTAAAGAAGTGTAATTGTACTTAAGTATAATAATTTCATAATTCACTTATTTTGAAATGAAAGGCTCAATGTCATCATTTTACACATATTTAGAATGTTCCAAAGTCTTTAGTATTATTTCAGAATGAATACAAAAACTAAGAATTTTCAAAAGCATTTTATACCTGATTCATATAACTTCATAAAATATTTTTAAACTCTTTTATTAGCTCTATGTAACTCACATGAAAGGAAAACCCTACTTTTTCTTATTTGCATTTATATTGTTAAAGAGAATAAAAGATATCGTCAGCATATTCTGTTCTATTTGAGAAAGTGAAGCACTCATTGCTTCCACTTAGAATTATCTCACAACTGATCAAGTAAAAATTTGGAAATCTATTATGGAACTGAGCCAATTTTTTTTCATAGTTTCAGTCTGCTTGAGATCACATAAATCTCCCTACTTTCTACTGCTACTATTCAAAGTGTAGAGACTTTCACCCTTTAAGATAAGAAATAAGAAAAACACTGCCACTTTAACAAAACTGTTACCATTTATTTAATTCAGTAATGTAAATATATATATGTAAATATATAGGTAAATATATATATGTATACAGGTGTGTCTAATTTGGTTCAATTTATAATAACTATAACAACATTGAAAGAAAAACTGAAGTTTTAGAAATCAAATCCAAATGAAATGATAATATATGGAGAAGTGAATTACCCTTTATGTATGAACACATGATTTCCACTTTTGTTTGCTATTTATTTGAGACTTCAGTTCTTTGATCAGAACACAGAAATGTGTGTTTAACTTGATCACACGTTTGAAAATCATTTCCAACTTGTTTTATGTGTGACTGGTGGAGTTTATTATGTACTTGTGAATGTGAATCAAAGTCTTTAAAGCTAATAACCATAATAACAATTATTATGCCTTTGACTTATCATAGTCATCAAGGGTATTTTTGGTATTACCACTACATAATATAAAGCAGACAAAAATACACAAATGCATAAAGGCCTGCTGTAGAGAAATATCTGACTGTAGAACCTGGGGCAGGAATATAAATTATGCATAACTCCATGTAGGCAAGTTTCTCTGGGCCCCAGTTCCTCGTCATAAAGCAAGTTTCTGATCTACATGAGTTATACTTCTGTCTAAATTCACTCTAAATTTAAGAGGATTATTTTTAAGTATAATTACACTACTGAATTTAAGAGGATCTATTACTATCATGGTCCTAATTTAGTAGATCATCACAGGAAAGGAATTACACATTCTGGTATTTGAGAGTCCTTTGTTAAGTGGGTTGCAGGTGGGGAGGAATAGAGGCAACAGGTGATTCCTTTGACTCCTCTATCAGTCTGTGACACCTGTGTACCTGGATAGAGGTAAGAATCTTTGATCTCTCCACAGTAGTGTGTTCAACCCTATAAGATTTTCACCCACTTTGTGTAACAAATATTTTCGAATCCCTTTCCAATGCTGGAATGAAAACATAGATTCCATAGCCAACCTGTAGAAGTTCATTTCAAGAAAATCTACATCAATATAACACACAAGGAAATACAGAAGGAAGGCCATTGAAAGTATAACAATATACATTCCAACATGCAAATGTTCAAGCAAACTATAACAGAAAACATTATGAAGTACTAAAATGCTTACATCTAATTCTACAGCTATCAATTCAGGCAAAGCGCTGTTCTGATTATTCAAGTATCACAACTATTGTGCTGTTAATGGCATAACTTTATAAAATAGTGAACTCAAAGGGCAATATGAACAGAAAGCAAAGCTACACTTGATTATAGTTGTTTTATTGGAAAATAACTATTAAAATTATGCAAATACGTAACGTTTTTGTATGTATTATTGTTATATGTGAGTCTTATTAAGCAAGATTTTCATACACATGATTGGCCACAAGCAAAATGTGAGAGTCCTTTGTTAAGATAGACTACTATGATCATCACAAGATTTTTAGCGGTATCCTCCTCCACCTGGTGATAATCAAAAACATCCTCACAAAATTCCAAACTTTTAAGTAGTTTTAGTAGCCCCATCTGAAGCTATCATTCTAAACGGACACATATTTCTTGAGATTCATAAAGATACTGGACACACATAGAAAAATAGGCAGTCGGCAAATTATAAATGAGACTGAACATGCTGGTGAGTAGTGATTTTATATTTCACCTCATCTGTTTGGTAACTTGGGGTAGACTTCTATGCATCAATATTTCTTAAATTGAGTATCCTTAGTTTGCATTATATGAGTAAAATTTAAAATCCAAATGAGTAATTTTGCATTGATATTTAAAGATGTATGTGTCATAGACATTTCTTTTTGTCAAACTAAGTTTACGTGACTTCAGAAACATTCAGCCCAGGTTTTGGTTTAGATAAAAGTGCCCAAGGCCTTCACTATATACAGTAGTTTCTCAAGTAATTGGTTGAATAATTCCCTGTCCATGCAAGTGTTCGAAGTTCTTAGGTTTCCCAGAACCATTTAGTACTCATTTGCATTGACCATCCCTTTATGATGGAATTTAAAATACCCCCAATTATGCAGCATGCGAGTCGATCTTCCAACACAAAAGTACCATCTACTTTGAAACATATTGGTTTTCTTTATTATGTATATTTTAGGGCAATCCACGTACTTAAAAACAATAATGATAGCCAAATAAAGGAAATGATAAAGGTTTATACAGATTGCTTTAATAGTTGTATGAAATTTCACAGAGTTACTGTACATCGCAAGAACTAAAATACATATAACATGAGTTAAAATGTTGCATTGGGAGTCTGTTTGCTGTTTGATACTATCATTTAAATTCATAGATTCATATGTCCTTCTAGTCAGGTAAGTTTAGGAAATATAGAGTAATATTCAGTTTCCCAGGCCTCATTATTTCAAAAATCAGTAAGTCAACTTGGCAAATGTTATAGAGTTATAAATGTTATAAAGTCTTATGACCAGGTAGTCTATTACAGGGTTCCCCAATCCCCGCGTCACAGACCAGTACCAGTACCAGTACCGGCCCATTGCCTGCTAGGAACTGGGTCACACAGCAGGAGGTGAACAGCAGGAGGAGAGCAGCAGGCAAGGAGCTTCAACTGTATGTACAACCGCTCCCTATTACTCATCATTGCTTGCGCTCCATCTCCTGTCAGATCAGTGGCGGCTTAGATTCTCACAGCAGCGCGAACCCTATTGTGAACTGCACATGGGAGGTATCTAGGGTGTATGCTCCTTATGAGAATCAAATGCCTGATGATCTCTCACTGTCTCCCATCACCCCTGGATGGGACTGCCTAGTTGCGGGAAAACAAGCTCAGGGGTCCCACTGATTCTACATTATGGTGAGTTGAGTAATTATTTCATTATGTATTACAATGTAATGATAATAGAAGTAAAGTGCACAATAAATATAATGTACTTGTATCACCCTGAAACCATCTACCCTTCCCAGTTCATGGAAAAATTGTCTTTTATTAAACTGCTCCCAGGTGCCAAAAGGGTTGGGGTCCACTGGCCTATTATATCATACGATTATTAAGTATAAACAAAAGAGAAATTAGATATGGCTTCATTCATATTGTGTGTTCTTGACTTTGGGCAAGGAAAAGAAATAAAGCTATAGATGAGGTCTGATGAATATAAATGCTTTTTGTTACGATCATAAGTTCCTTAACACTCCAAATAATAAAAAATGTTTTCAAAACTTAAACTTATACAAAATTCAGATTTGTATGTGTGTGCATGCGCATGTGTGTTTGTGTGTGAGTGGGTTTAGTTCTCTGATTATGAATGCAGCAATTCATCATCTTTATTTGGCACCAGAGACATCCAACATTTTAGTATATATTTGACTATTACAATATGAAAAATGACAGCCTCATAAAATATATGAAATTTATCTGAAAACTTTGGTTTTTCTCTCCAATTTCTCTAATAATAATAATACACAATCCATAACTGTCTTAACTTTAATCTACTATGATCTATTATCAATAGAAATGTGATTTTAATGGTGAACTAGGTAAAATATAAAGGCTGATTGGTGGCATACAATGGCACACAAGTTGACATTACAAGTATTTAATACACTAAACACAGAAAATATAAATGGATATAAGTGTACATATGGGTTGAATGTAAGTGTACATACAGTTTGAAATGCTTGGGACCAGAAGTGTTGCAGATTTCAGAATATTTCAATTTTAGAAAGCTTGCATTATAAATAATGAGATGTTTTGGGAATGGAACCCAAGTCTAATAACAAAATGTGCTGTACTTTTATTTTTCCTTTGGGGGTGCTGAATCAACTGTGTGTTGTGCACCTGCATTGTGACTGCAACCTGTTGCATGAGATCAGGTGTGGAATTTTCCCCTTTGTCATTATATTGATACTCAAAACGGTTTGTATTTTGAAGCACTTTAGCTCTCGAATTTTTAGATTAGAAATGCTCAATCCGTACATATTACTGTATAGGAAACCAACACAGGTTTAGTGTTCATCCTTCCTTAAAATAGTTGCTACCGAGATCCACAAATGTCCTGAGTGCCTTATTCAGTGAAGGTGTAATATAAGTCAGAATGGGCATAATCTTTTCCAGCCTTTGGCATATTAATAGTGCTCTACATACAATTGCTTCAAGGTACATGATGTGCTCACTTTGAAATGCACTTTTAAAATTTAAAAAGATGGCCATTTAAAGTTAATGTTAAAGGACACTTTATTTTTAAGGAAAAGCAAGTGTTTGAACCAAAGCCTAAAGGCATATTTTTAAAATAGTTTTTTTTAAGGACAAAATTGCTTATGAATTGGCTCCCTATAGGGAGTGCTGTATCTTAAGAAAATTTAGTATATATGGTTTGTATTTGCTAAATGCTCCAGCTGTTTTATTATTTAGACAGATAGAACATTGAGGTAAATAGAACGTAGGTACATAAGGAAGTGTGTGTGTGTGTGTGTGTGTGTGTGTGTGTGTGAGAGAGAGAGAGAGAGAGAGAATATCCCACACAGTAATAAAACCCCACTGTGCTACACCTTCCAATAGTGACCGGTTTGCAGTACCCCCAGGAGTCACAGTGATATCACCTAATCTACCAGTGTTCAGAACAATTTTCAATTCATTGATTCCTTGCCTAAGAAGACAAAGTCAAAGCATCCACTTTCCAACATGGAACAAAATAAAAATCAAAGAACTCTGTAGGGGGGAAACTTTCTATGTTGACAGTTCTAGGACATGCTTGATTTTCTTTCAAACTTTAATAAAAAGAGATCCAGCAACGTGTGACAGCTGTAACTCAGCTAATTAAATGATTTAATCCTACCACCTCATAAATCAATATTCAGGAAATGTTAGATTATATTTGAAAAATCTATTCATCAAGTCAATTTATATTTTGCTCTTAAAGTAAAATTAACTGATATATATATGTATATATTTTGCTGTTGAAAAACTGTATGCTAATATAATGGTGTTTTGCCCCCAAATCACCAAATATCGGCATATCTAGACACTTCAAATGCTTTTTTTGACTAGTGGGATGGTGAATACATTATGTTTAGAGAAAACTGAATAACAAGCATTGTAGCATGTTTTATAGAAATATTGAAAAAGTGAAGACCAGTGGCAACTTTTTCTGTAAGGGATCAGATAGTAAACACCTTAGACTTTGTAAACTAAGAGGCAAAATTGAAGTTATTATGTGAGTAGTTTCTACTGGGTGAACGAGGTAAAAGATAAGTGCTGCTTAATGACATACAACATGAAAGTGCATTTCAAAGGCATCAAACTTCCTAGAGACGGAAAATATAAATGAATAAAAGTGGTATCCGTTAGATAAAAATTTATAAAAGGTATACATATACACACACATATAAAATACATATATATGTGTATACATACACACATACATATATACATGTTTATATATACACACATACATGTATATACATGTATGTATGGGTATATATGTATATATGTGTATATATACCTTTTATCCTCATATAATCCATATACTTATACATATACATGGTGTGTGTATGTGTGTATAAAATCACCTTCACTTATATAAGAAGAGAGAAAACAAATTTCTATGTTCTCCAGCCATTTATATATAGATAAACCATTCTTAGCTAATTTTTCTTAGACTAAACACTCTGGTTTACAGAATCCATTATTACAGTATTTTTTGCATTGGCATTACTAGCTTTCCATGTTTATACTACTTACTTATTTTGAAAGATTAGCATTTAGAGACTCTTTTAGCATTAACATTAAATATCCTTCTTTCCTTTTCTTTTCTTTCTCCTCTCCCACCACCCCTTCCTATGGGTATTTTAGTGTACCCATATGTAGTATCATGCTGAAGTTATTTTTCTGCATATATAAGACCTGAAAAAATAAAATTAATATTTAGACTTTAGAGATGAAACCTTTTTTTCTCTAACTAGCACCAGTGCTTCCTATATTATAGCATTGATTGATTTTTCTTTATTGTTGTCTGATTGTTTTCTCTACTCTGTTCTGATTGACCAGAGTAGAGAAATCGTTGCTGAAGTAAATGCTATTTTAATGTTTGGCATTATTAAGAAATATCATAAGAAAATGTCACAATAATCAATTTAACATTTATTTTTTAAAATATATTTTGTATCTCCTCTCTAGTACAAAAAAATAAACAGAGTTCAGTAATAACATGATTATCAGCATTTGAATTACTCAGGTATTTTTGATATTCTGAAACTCACCTACAGTGTAACATTTCATTGAGGTTGACATTTGCTACATTTCTTATTCACTTAAGCCACATGAAAGATTTAGAGCAGATTTATTCTATGACACAAATTCAAAACATTCAAATTTACCAGCTGAATGATCTTCAGGGTTTTATCATGCTTTATTCAGTGTAGTTGTCTCAATTTAATTTGAAATTATACAGTAAGTGAAAAGAAGCTTTTAAAGCATTCAATTTATGTTAAAGAATTGACATTGTAAGATTAATTGCTTAGGAACCTTTGTGAACAATTAGCTTCTCTAAACAACAAGTTTTTTTTCTAGAACTCTTTGCAAATTACTTGAAAAAAAGCTGATTGAAGCCTGGGTTGAAAAATATTAATTGAAATTATAATTCAAAAAAATTAAATTCGCTGTGGTCAGAACAATACTGACCACAGGAAGAAAAAGTATTCACAAAGATAATTTTTAACTAGTACCTTAAACCTTTTGTTTACCTTCTATAGCATGAGCCCTTTCTACCTTTTAAAATATTTTTTATTATTCAAGGCACAATTTAAAATGCTGCTTTTCCAAAGCTTTTAAAACAACTTATTCTTTAACCCTTACAATTCCAAACATCTTAAATAATTTTTTAAACAAAATCTTCAGTGTTTTTAAAAATATGTGTATGTATTTGTTTCTGTCTTTTGCTTGGCTTGCTAGAGAGTAAGGTGCCTCATGTTCTTTCCCGGTTTATCAGTGCAGTCATTCTCTTAATTTCAGAAAAATCAGCCTTCTCTTCAGTGTTTATAACACCAATCCTATAACTCTATAGGTAAAGTTTGTAAACAAGAGTGTTTAGCACGTAGAAAGTGTCTAATAAATTACTTATTTCGGGGGGGAGAGTTGAATAAACCAAGAAAAGTTCCATTTAAAGGTAAAAACAGTGCAGAGAGGAGGCAATATTTGGCAGAAACATAAGATGCTGGTGTAACTATTATTATTTTTTATTTATTTGAGCAATTTAGGATCTTTTCAGGAAAAGATAAAAAGAAGACTATGGAGATACAGATTGTTCTATTAGGCTGCAGAAATAGAAACCTGTCCATATGCACTGCAAATTTATTGGTCTGGGCAGTGGGACTTACTCTTTACTTGGCTCACACCTTAATCTCATTCTGAGTCTGAGCTCCTATCACAGCTGATTTCATGGTATTTCAAAGCCTACGACAGGGACTTATGGGCGTCTTCTTGGATATTTGGTTGTTTATTTAGCATCTTTATTCGGAACCTAAAAGTTATTTCAAATTTTACATCCCCAAAATAATATTTTTGCATACTTACTCCATCCTTGTTTTTCCGTATCCTAGTTGCCAGCAACTTTATTTTCCATTGTTATATCAAGACAACCAGACATATATTTGACATTGCATACCTAGTCTATCAGAAAACCTTATATTCTCTTCCTCATGACTGCCACTACCACCACCGAAGGCTAAGACACTGTGATGGGCTGAACTGTATTACCCTCAGATCCCTATGTTGAAGCCCTAATCCCCATCCTTCAAAATGGGAATCTATTCAGTGACAGGACCTTTAATTTAAAATGTGATTAGGATAAAATGATACCATGAAGGTGGGCCCTATTCAAATATGACTGTTGTCATTATAAGAAGAAGAGATGAGGAGATAGAGAGATACCAGGGATGTTGGGGCACAGAGAAAAGACCATGTGAGAAGCCAGCAAGAAAGCATCATCTGCAAGCCAAGGAGAAAGGCCTCAGAAGAAACTTCTAGCCTCAGAACTGTGAGAAAATAAATGTCTGTTGTTTATACAACCTGGTCTGTGCTATTTTATTATGGCAACCCTAGCAAACTAATAGAGTTGCCATTATCTCCCACCCATAGTGTTGCAATATTATCTGATCTCTCTGACTTTTTTTTTTTTTTTTTGGAGACAAGAGTCTTACTCTGTTGCCCAGGCTGCAGTGCAGTGGCAACATATTTGCTCACTGCAACCTCTGCCCCGTGGGCTCAAGCAAGTCTCCTGCCTCAACCTCCTAAGTAGCTGGGACTACAAGGGCACGCCACCACGCCTGGCTGATTTTTGTGTTTTTAGTAGAGATTAGAGTTCACTATGTTGGTCAGGCTGGTCTCGAACTCCTGACATCAAGTGATCCACCAGACTCAGCCTCCCAAAGTGCTGGGATTAGAGGCGTGAGCCACTGCGCCTGGCCTTGATCTTTCTGGATCTGTTTGGACCCACACAATGTCTAGAGTTACTCTTTTAAACAAGTTTTACCATGGGATTCGTCTGCTTAAGGGCATCTAGTTATTTCCTCACTCAATCAGAATAAAAGATGCAGTTTTCCTTCTGCTTTTCTGGGCTCTACAGTCTTTTTAAAGGCGACTTCTTAAACCTCAGCTTCTTCCATGCCCCTCTTTTTCTCTCTATTCCAGTCACAGTGGATGCCAAACCGTTCTTTTAACACACCTAACATGTGCCTGCCTCAGGGCCTTTGCACATATAAATCTATCCGCTTTTAATCCTTTCCTCACGGTTTTCCATGTTATGTACTATAAACTTCTGTCATATTTCTGTTCTAATATAATTCTATCAGAGAGGCCTTTTTGGCAGCTGTCTCTAAAATAACTCCCTGCTGACACACTTTTATATTCCCTTTTCCTACTTCATTTCCTTCATAGCATATATTTACCTGTTTACATGTTTCTGAACACCTTCCTATCATTAAACCTTAAGCCGCATAAGAACAGGGATGATGTTTATTTCACTCAATGCTGTATTCTCAAATTTAGAATTGCTTGTGGCACATATTTGATATTCAATAAAAATGTATTATTTATCAAATGCATGAATGAACAAAATAATTTCTTAAGACTAACTATAAAGATAGATTGCCTTGTTTATATAAAATTGCTTAGCTGAGTTCTAGCTAATGTTTTCTGCCCTTACTTTGGTAGTCAGCCAGGTAGCCTTTTTACTCCTGTTTCCAATAAATTTTTTCCTATAGTTGAGTTTCATGCTTTGGCCTTGTATATCTTTGCTTCTGTCCCAATTTGAAACCCACTCCTGGTATGAGTTGTCTCCTCTGTCACAATTATTTGTAATTGTAATGCAAATTACATTGTAATGCCATTACAATGGCAGCCCTAGCAAACTAATTATAATGCATAAATTTAATTCATATTAATTTAATCATCCAAAATTTATTTTCTGACCATTTTCAGTACCTAAATTATTTTTCTGTTGTTTTACTTTTTTATTTAACTGCTGCTGCTCTTGCTGCTGTTGTTGCTTGCTGCTTTTTGTTTTCTACAAAAAAGACGAAAGTGTTTGATGGGAACGAAAAGGTACAAAGTCCGGAGACAGCTAACTAAAAAGTGCAATGTATTTCCTTTTTTTTCCTCTCCATCCAATATAACCTATCTCTCAAACGTTTCAATTTCCTCATGCTTTTTCCTGGCTTAAGATTGTTTCCAGCATTCATCACTTTTGGTACATGTCTCCTCATTCATATTTAGTATCTTAAAAGGAAAAATAAATGTATTGCACTTACAAAAGCTGTGTATTGTCCTAAGAACAAATCTGAGGGATGATTATTTAGCTTAAAGATAACAATTGTGAAATGTTTGGTGTACATAAGTATACTGTTCTATGTAGGTGTGACCTGAGGCTGACACCTATTTCCTGTTTACATTTCAATATCCCCTGAAATTGGGATTTTATTACAAAACAAAAGAGAAACTTGGGAATGTACTTTTGCTGAAAATTAAATTCTTAGCCTGTCAAAAGTAGCAAATATTTTGCTGGTATTTTTGTATTATAATCTCATACTTTCATAACAAATATGAATCATTTTTATCTAATTTATTTGGTTTCACATTTCGAAGAATGTCACTTTCTTATTTAACTTTGTAGCTGCATTATATCACTGAGTTTTACACACACAAATCAGAAAAAGGCAAATAGCTTGTTACAAGCAGCATGTTAAAAAATATCCCCCAAAAGTTAATAATTAAATTTGAATGGAATATTCAGCTATGTCAGGTACTATATCACAAATGAATACCATAATTAATTATTGACAAAATTATGGCAACAATCACAGCCAACATATTTATACTACTGCTAAGAAAATGACTCCCAATGTAATGCAGGATATGGTTTGACTTAACTTACTGCATTAGCTTCCTATTACTACTTGATATGGTTTGGATCTGTGTCCTTACCCAAATCTCATGTCCAATTGTAATCCTCAGGGTTGGAGGTGGGGCCTGGTGGGAGGTGCTTGAATGATGTGGCAGTTTCTCCTGAATGGTTTAGCACCATCTCCCTAGCGCTGTTCTCATGATACAGGTCTCATGAGGTCTGGTTGTTTAAAAGTAGGTAGCACCTCCACCCCTCCCTCTTATTTCTGCTGCAGCCATATAAGATGTGCTTGCTTCCTGTTCACCTTCTTCTATGATTGTAAGTTTCCTGAGACCTACCCAGATGCCGATGGAATGGTACCATGCTTCCTGTAGAGCCTGCAGAACCATGAGCCAATTAAACCTCTTTCCTTTATAAATTAACCAGTCTCAGGTATTTCTTTATAGCAGCGCAAGAATGGACTAATATACTACTGTAACAAATTGCCATAAATGTAATGACTTAAAACCATACACATTTATTTTCTTACAGTTCCGAAGGTCAGTAGGACTACACTCCTTCTGGAAGCTTCATGGAAGAATCTGTTTCCTTGTCTTTTTTTTAGCTTTGTGAGGTCATTTGTATTCTTTATTGGCTCATGAGCTCTTCTTTATTTCACTCCAATCTTTTGAGTCTAGTCTCCTACCTCTGACCTTGGCCCTCCTGCCTCCCTCTTAGAAGGATACTTGTGATTACATTAGGCTCACATGGATAATACAAGATAATCTCCCGATCTGAAATTTTTAACTTAACCACAGCTGCAAAGCCCCTTTTACCGTCTAAGGTAATACATTGACGGGCTCCAGGGAATAGGATGTGTACATCTTTAGAGAGAGTATTAAAAAAAAGTGAATACGTACATACAGACACACACACACACAGACACACACACACATACATGTAGTTTATGTGTATGTATCAAGTAGCTCAATAAAGCATTGGATGTTTTCAGTTGATTCCATTGCATTATGTAGCCATAATAGATAAAAACACCAAGCGCAGATAATCTTTTGTGTCAGAGTTTAAGTACTGCACTGTTCTAAGAATAAGCTAGTCTGTAACTAATTTTCTGTTTTCCTCTTTTTTTGCCTCTGACAATCACATTGACACTTTTTTTGTTTGTGCCGGAAGTATTTGAGTGTTGAATGCTAGGCACATTGGATAGTCAGACACATTGGTCACTGTCTGATATTGATTACATTTCACTATATCAAAACTCACAATACATCTCAGCTTCTAGAATTCAGCACATTACCATGTTCAAGCTACTTCAGCAATCTTGTCATCTCAATTTTTCACACTTTTTCATTTGTTTGTTATTTTGACAATCAGGTACCACAACACATACCAATAGGTAATGCTGTAAAAAATATGAGAAATTGTAGCATCAACATTGTCAAGCCTCATGTCGCAGATAAAGTCACTTTAAAATAATAATGATCCAGGAATATTTTAAAATCATATATTTGTCAAACTACTCTTAAACTGGGATACTACCTTTCTTTTACATTTCCTATTTTTGATGAAGAGGAATACTTTAAACACTAATACCAATGTTTCTTCCTTTCTGTCCATCTATGTTTATTTAAAAGATTCAAGGTGTGACAAACCATAGCCAGTTCAACTCTGCCTGTGACCGTTGGTTTAAATATTGACTGTGGCTGCTTTTGTGATCTAATGACGGAGTTGAGGAATCACAACAGAGACTCTCTACGTACAAAGCCAAAACTATTATCTGGCTCTTTACAGATAATGAAAATTCAGTCTTTTCAAATAAGGGTCAGAAAACTTCTCTAATGGATACAGTAGAGAAGTTTGATGACCTTTGTTTGAAAAGATTGAAAATCATCAGTGCCTCAGTGAGTAGGAAGAGATATTTCTTTTTTATTATTATTATACTTTAAGTTCTAGGGTACATGTGCACAACGTGCGGTTTGTTACATATGTATACATGTGCCATGTTGGTATGCTGCACCCATTAACTCGTCATTTAACATTAGGTATATCTCCTAATGCTATCCCTCCCCCCTCCTACCACCCCACAACAGGCCCCTGTGTGTGATGTTCCCCTTCCCGTGTCCATGTGTTCTCATTGTTCAATTCCCACCTATGAGCGAGAACATGCAGTGTTTGGTTTTTCGTTCTTGCGATAGTTTGCTGAGAATGATGGTTTCCAGCTTCATCCGTGTCCCTACAAAGGACATGAACTCATCATTTTTTATGGCTGCATAGTATTCCATGGTGTATCTGTGCCACATTTTCTTAATCCAGTCTATCATTGTTGGACATTTGGCTTGGTTCCAAGTCTTTGCTATTGTGAATAGTGCCGCAATAAATATACATGTGCATGTGTCTTTATAGCAGCATGTTTTATAATCCTTTGGGTATATACCCAGTGATGGGATGCCTGGGTCAAATGGTATTTCTAGTTCTAGATCCCTGAGGAATCACCACACTGACTTCCACAATGGTTGAACTAGTTTACAGTCCCACCAACAGTGTAAAAGTGTTCCTATTTCTCCACATCCTCTCCAGCAACTGTTGTTTCCTGACTTTTTAATGATCGCCATTCTAACTGGCGTGAGATGGTATCTCATTGTGGTTTTCATTTGCATTTCTCTGATGGCCAGTGATGATGAGCATTTTTTCATCTGTCTTTTGGCTGCATAAATGTCTTCTTTTCAGAAGTGTCTGTTCATATCCTTTGCCCACTTTTTGATGGGGTTGTTTGTTTTTTCTTGTAAATTTGTTTGAGTTCATTGTAGATTCTGGATATTAGTCCTTGGTCAGATAAGTAGATTGCAAAAATTTTCTCCCATTCTGTAGGTTGCCTGTTCACCCTGATGGTAGCTTCTTTTGCTGTGCAGAAGCTCTTTAGTTTAATTAGATCCCATTTGTCCATTTTGGCTTTTGTTGCCATTGCTTTTGGTGTTTTAGACATGAAGTCCTTGCCAAGGCCTATGTCCTGAATGGTGGAGCTGGTTTTTTGAAAAGATCAACAAAATTGATAGACCGCTAGCAAGACTAATAAAGAAGAAAACAGAGAAGAATCAAATAGACGCAATAAAAAATGATAAAGGGGATATCACCACCGATCCCACAGAAATATAAACTTCCATCAGAGAATACTATAAACACCTCTATGCAAATAAACTAGAAAATCTAGAAGAAATGGAAAAATTCCTCGACACATACACCCTCCCAAGATTAAACCAGGAAGTTGAATCTCTGAAGAGATCAATGACAGGCTCTGAAATTGAGGCAATAATTAATAGCTTACCAACCAAAAAAATCCAGGGCCAGATGGATTCACAGCTGAATTCTACCAGAGGTATAAGGAGGAGCTGGTACCATTCCTTCTGAAACTATTCCAATCAATAGAAAAAGAGGGACTCTTCCCTAACTCATTTTATAAGGCCAGCATCATCCTGATACCAAAGCCCGGCAGAGACACAACAAAAAAAGAGAATTTTAGACCAATATCCTTGATGAACATCGATGCAAAAATCCTCAATAAAATACTGGCAAACCGAATCCAGCAGCACATCAAAAAGCTTATCCACCATGATCAAGTGGGCTTCATCCCTGGGATGCAAGGCTGGTTCAACATATGCAAATCAATAAATGTAATCCAGCATATAAACACAACCAATGACAAAAACCACATGATTATCTCAATAGATGCAGAAAAGGCCATTGAAAAAATTCAACAACTCTTCATGCTAAAAACTCTCAATAAATTAGTTATTGATGGTACGTATCTTAAAATAATAAGAGCTATCTATGACAAACCCACAGCCAATATCATACTGAATGGGCAAAAACTGGAAGCATTCCCTTTGAAAACGGGCACAAGACAGGGATGCCCTCTCTCACCACTCCTATTCAACATAGTGTTGGAAGTTCTGGCCAGGGCAATCAGTCAGGAGAAGGAAATGAAGGGTATTGAATTAGGAAAAGAGGAAGTCAAATTGTCCCTGTTTGCAGATGACATGATTGTATACCTAGAAAACCCCATCATTTCAGCCCAAAATCTCCTTAAGCTGATAGGCAACTTCAGCAAAGTCTCAGGATACAAAATCAATGTACAAAAATCACAAGCATTCTTATACACCAATAACAGACAAACAGAGAGCCAAATCATGAGTGAACTCCCATTCACAATTGCTTCAAAGAGAATACAATACCTAGGAATCCAACTTACAAGGGACGTGAAAGACTTCTTCAAGGAGAACTGCAAACCACTGCTCAATGAAATAAAAGAGGATACAAACAAATGCAAGAACATTCCATGCTCATGGGTAGGAAGAATCAATATTGTGAAAATGGCCATACTGCCCAAGGTAATTTATAGATTCAATGCCATCCCCATCAAGCTACCAATGACTTTCTTCATAGAATTGGAAAAAACTACTTTAAAGTTCACATGGAACCAAAAAAGAGCCTGCATGTCAATCCTAAGCCAAAAGAACAAAGCTGAAGGCATCATGCTACCTGACTTCAAACTATACTACAAGGCTACAGTAACCAAAACAGCATGGTACTGGTACCAAAACAGAGATATAGACCAATGGAACAGAACAGAGCCCTCAGAAATAATGCCACATATCTACAACCATCTGATCTTTGACAAACCTGACAAAAACAAGAAATGGGGAAACAATTCCCTATTAATAAATGGTGCTGGGAAAACTGGCTAGCCGTATGTAGGAAGCTGAAACTGGATCCCTTCCTTACACCTTATACAAAAATTAATTCAAGATGGATTAAAGACTTAAATGTTAGACCTGAAACTATAAAACCCTAGAAGGAAGAGCTATTTCTAAGGCACTAAATATATATTTGTATTATATACACATATAGAGATATGTGTAGGGGTGAGTATATATCTCTTTTATCTGATGTCAGTTTATAATTTATTAGTATTATTACTTGACCTCAGGCAATAAAACAGCTTAATATAGTTTAATATGCACATTCAAGTTATCAATCACAGAAGTAGAAAATTATCTTACCTATCACTGTGTGTGTCACTGTATTCTGAAGTCATTTCAACCCTGGAGCTCTACCTTGATTCTGTAGGGTTTCATTGGAGAACTAAGAATAGATTTTGGCACCTCTTTTTTTTTCTCATCCTCTGCATGAGCCAGTCTTGTTAATTCATACCATTGTCTCTCTCTCTCTCTCGCTCTCTCTGTGTGTGTGTGTGTGTGTGTGTAGGCATAGATACACATTTCTTCCATTACTGTTCATTTCCACCACTGCCAATCAGGCTCAAACCAACATTGTCTTTCAATTGTACTGTTATCGATCTGCCCTGTGCTCCTATCTCCTGATTATTATCCTAGAAAGCCAATATGAACTTTGTAAAATTTGAATTTGATGTTTTCTTTCCTATTTTCCTAAAACTCTTGACTGGTTCTCATTGTTCTTAGGATAAAATACAGAATGGTTAGGATGACCTATAAGACTCTGAATCTAAAAACATAATCTGCCTCCTCCCATATCATTCTTTTCTTGGTCACTGTAGGTAAAATATACTATCCATCTATTATTTCCCAGAATAAGCTAAGCTATTTTCCTTACTTATAGCCTTATTTCAACCCAGTGCTTTAGGTCTCAGCTTAAATTTCAATGAGGGAAAAGTGCTTTATTTTATTGCCTAGATACATTATCACTCCCTTGATTTTTCTCATAACATTCTATTATTTTTCTTCATGGCACTTAACATAACGTGATATTATTTACATGTGTGAATTTATTTATTTAATGTCAATATCCTGTAGTAAACTATAAGCTTAACAAGAAAAGAAACCAAGTCTGGTCTTCCTTATCCTCCACTCCATGCCAAGGCTTAGCACAAGGCACAACACCTGACTGGCTTTCAACAAATCATTGTTGAATATTCCTTTAACTTGTTATGTTTATTTAGCATTCTGGTTTTACTATTTTGTGCTTGACATTTTGGAAATTATTTTTATTTTTTGGCAAAATTCTTCTGTCTCTTTTTGGGATTTGCTTTCTGCTTAGCCTCCAGCATGGCCCTCGTAGCCCATGTAAGCCACTGGCTACCGTGGAAAACTTTACCACTAGTTTCTTACATGTATCTATATTTGTCAGTTGACCTAGTACTAATTCCTTTGAAATATGTATTATCTAACAGAGATATATCATGGACTAATATGTATTTCCACTCTCCTTTCACTGAAGCAACTTCAATCACACCTAAATAGCACAACTGAAATTATTTTTTCAATTGACTTGTTTGAAAGGAAAACAAAACCAAAAACAGGTAGTATATTAGAGCCAAAAACAGATTTATCAGATATGTCTTATGCTAATTCATCCATTGAGCAGATATATGACAAATTCACCGTTCACTTATAAAGGAGGAGAAAAAAGGGCAAGTATTACAATGTACCTGCTAATGTCAGTATAATCACCCAGATTATCGTAAAAAAAAAAAAAAAGAAAATGCTACCCTAATTAATACCCATAGAAACAGACAAGCTACATTTAATAACTTTAATGTGGCAAAGTAATTTTTCTGGGTAACAGAATATACCCCAAAGAATAAATCATAGATTTTGTTATGACAATAGAATTTTATAATTCATATTTATTTTATGCTAGAGAACTAATTCTAAATAAGCTTCTGTGTTAGAGTACTAATTTTTATTTGTTATGTATAATGTTACATCAACAATCTAGGGAAAAATAACTGGTCCACAATAATTTTTTGTTGTGCTATTACATTAATGTTAACTTTGTCATATTTAATATTTTTTCTGTTTCAGCAATAAACTTTTTATCTAAAAGAAAAATTAAAACTCACAAAAGCCAATAAACAAATAAATAATTTTTCCACAACTTCATCCTATTTTTTCTTATACAAATTTGTTACAATTTAGAGAAGTATGAAACAAACTACAAGTATGATTTACAATACTGTGACACTTACATAAGATTCCTTTGCTTCTAGGAAGTAAAAGATGCCTGAAATGTATCTATATGAACTACAGTTTCAATAAGCTAAGAGAGTCAACTTTTCTAGAAACTGTGACCTTTGATGTAATCTTTGACTCCACCTTTTTCACTGAGTTCTGGTATCTTCATCTAGATCTGGGGACCTGAAGACAATGAAGAGGCATGTTTAACATCTTTACTCTATTTAAAATGTTTCCCTGAATCCCTGAAGCAATAGTATTTCCAGCAAAATTTTACCTACACAAGTGCTGTAAATTAAACTATGCCTTCCTATAAAGTGCCAATATAAACTGATGAGCAGTAAAAAGAACAGATGAATGCTTTGTTTGTATGGCATCTATCTTACCAATTTTGGGGAGTAAAAAAAAAGTTTTGCTGCCCTAAGATTCTATTAATTATCCATTAATGATCCAGAAAGCACTCAAATGACAGAATCTGTAACAAATGTGGCTTCTTTTTGTTGAGAGAGGATACAGTAGAATTTTAAAAGTCCAGCATGATCGAAGAAAATGTATTTAAAATATCAGAAAGAGGAAATGATCTCCCAGACCAAAGAATAAGCTAAATACGCTGAGACTCAGAGGTCAGAACAGGAACTCCCGAGTATCTTCTCTAGATGCAGATGTGCAACAGAAGACCAAGGGAGCAGCCACATGAGCTTCTCCTCATCAGCTGGATTTGGAATCAAGAAATTAGGCAGTTAAGTCACCTTCTACTAGGGTAACCTTTTAAAAACTAAATTTTTCAGGAACTTTTTTAAAGCTATCTCCACCAATCATGTTATACCTGGGCATATACTTAGGTTTCGTTCTCTCCTCAAATATTTAGATTTTTTAAATATAAATTTTACGTGTTTTGTAAGGGTTTCAGATTAAACATTTTGTTTTGTTTTAGGGAAAAGAAATAAATCCTAGTTTGGAATGGAGAAGTGAGACAAGAAGGAAGGGAAGCCACAAAGGATGTATACTATGATAAAGCCCACTACCCCTGTGGGTGATTGAAGTTTAAAACCTTGAGGAAACTCTGAGAAACAATGTAAAACCCATTCCTTAGTTATATCTCTAGAGGAAACAGAGCTGAGGTATTTATACTCCACCTCCCATGGATCATTCCTCAAAGGCTGCCTCCAGAGGGTGTTAATTTCCTGCCTCTTTTGACTTGACTATTGAGCAGGCAGAGACCAACCCTGGCCGTGTAGAAAACCTGCAGGCAGTGATGCAGATAACGATGGTGGAAAAGCGATAAAGCCCAAAGAGTGGGTAATGCACTAGGATCTGTTATTCTATGTTACAAGATATTCTTTTAAAAAGTTACTTTAACAAATGCATAGAGTTTCATTATTTGATTATACCATAATTTATTAAACCAATAGCTTGTTTTGTTTTGGAAAGACCAAGAATATTCATAAAAGAAAGTAATAATGTTCACTGTTATCTATTTTCTTAGGTTAAAAAAACTTACATTGGGAGTAATGAATCAATAATGTTTTTTAAAAATCCTTAAATTTTTTATACATATTGCAAAATTATTTATTAGAATATTTGTACCAAATAATTCCTATACACCCAATTGTAACAAATACAAATGTAAGCTTTCCAATGGACACAATGGGCTATTATTTATGGTATCTGTGCCAAGTGGAGAAGAGTAAGTTTAGCTAGTGAATGCCTTAATTTGATTTGACTTGATTGTGAATACATTTGTTTTCTATTGTTGCTGTAACAACCACAAATTTGGTGGCTTAAAAATAGAAACGTATTATTTTATCATTCTGGAAGTCAAGCGGTCAAAACGGATGTCAGTGGGCCTAAACTAAGATGTAAGCAGGGCTTCATTTTGTATCCGGGATTGGTGGGTTCTTGGTCTCACTGACTTCAAGAATGAAGCCGCGAACCTTCTCAGTGAGTATTACAGTTCTTAAAGGCGGTGTGTCCGGAGTTTGTTCCTTCTGATGTTCGGATGTGTTCGGAGTTTCTTCCATCTGATGGGTTCGTGGTCTCGCTGGCTCAGGAGTGAAGCTGCAGACCTTTGCTGTGAGTGTTACAGCTCTTAAGGCAGAGCGTCTGGAGTTGTTTGTTCCTCCCTGTGGGCTCCTGGTCTCACTGGCTTCAGGAGTGAAGCTGCAGACCTTCGCTGGTAAGTGTTACAGCTCATAAAGGCAGTGTGGACCCAAAGAGTGAGCAGTAGCAAGATTTATTGCAAAGAGCAAAAGAACAAAGCTTCCACAGTGTGGATGGGGACCCCAGCGTTGCCACTGCTGGCTCGCGCAGCCTGCTTTTAGTCTCTTATCTGGCCCCACCCACATCGTGCTGATTGGTAGAGCTGAGTGGTCTGTTTTGACAGGGCACTGATTGGTGCGTTTACAATCCCTGAGCTAGACACCAAGGTTCTCCATCTCCTCACCAGAGTAGCTAGATACTGAGTGTCCACACAAAGGTTCTCCAGGTCCCCACCAGAGCTGCTAGATACAGAGTGTCGATTGGTGCATTCACAAACCCTGAGCTAGACACAGAGTGCTGATTGGTGTGTTTACAAACCTTGAGCTAGATACAGAGTGCCCATTGGTGTATTTACAATCCCTGAGTTAGACATAAAGGTTCTCCAAGTCCCCACCAGACTCAAGAACCCAGCTGGCTTCACCCCGTGGATCCCGCATGGGGGCTGCAGGTGGAGCTGTCTGCCAGTCCAGTGCCCTGTGTGAGCCCGCACTCCTCAGCCCTTGGGTGGTCGATGGGACTGGGCGCCGTGGAGCAGGGGGCGGCGCTCCTTGGCGAGGCTCCGGCTGCACAGGAGCCCACTGAGCGGGGGAGGCTCAGGCGTGACGGGTTGCAAGTCCCGAGCCTTGCCCCGCGGGAATGCAGCTAAGGCCCAGTGAGAAATCGATTGCAGCGTCGGTGGGCTGGCGCTGCTGGCGGACCCAGTACACCCTCCGCAGCCGCTAGCCCAGGTGCTAAGCCCCTCATTGCCCGGGCGGCAGGGCGGGCCGGCTGCTCCGAGTGCGGGGCCCGCCAAGCCGACGCCTACCCGGAACTCCAGCTGGCCCGCAAGCGCCGCGCGCAGCCCCGGTTCCCGCCCGCGCCTCTTCCTCCACACCTCCCCGCAAGCTGAGGGAGCCGGCTCCGGCCTTGGCGAGCCCAGAAAGGGCCTCCCACAGTGCAGCGGTGGGCTGAAGGGCTCCTCAAGTCCCACAGAGGAGGCGCCGAGAGCGAGCAAGAGCGAGCGAGGGCTGTGAGGACTGCCAGCATGCTGTCACCTCTCAGTTTCTTCTGAAGGCTCTAGGTAGAAGACAATCCATTTCTTTGTCCTTTCCGACTTTTAAAGGCTGCCTACTTTGCTAGCTGCTTCTTCTCTTTCATCTTCAAACCCAGCAATGGCCCATTCAGTTCTCACAGCACAACATTCTGATTTTTCTGCCTTTCTCTCCTATCTTTTAAGGACCCTCTTGATTACACGTATGCGCCTACGTAATCCAGAATACTCTCTTTATTTTACGGTCAGCTATTTGGCATCCTTAATACCATCAGCAAACTTAATACCTCTTGCCATGCAACTCAACACATATACAGGTTCCAGAGATTACGACTTCGACCTCCTACAGCAGGGAGGGTATTATTCTGCTTACCCAACTAATAGAGCTAAATATTTAGCACATTTTACTGTCAGTTTATATTTTTTCTGTGAATGGTTTATTTTTAATTTTTACTATTCTGTTAAGAAGTTTATATTTTTTCTTTCTGCCACCCAGGCTGGAGTGCAGGGATGCGATCTCGGCTCACTGTATCTCCGCCTCCAGGGTTCAAGCGATTCTTGTGCCTCAGCCTCCCTAGTATCTGGAATTACAGGCGTCCACCACCACACCTGACTAATTTTTTGTATTTTTAGTAGAGACAGGGTTTCACCATGTTGGCCAGGCTGGTCTTGAACGCCTGGCCTCAAGTGATCTGCCCACCTCGGCCTTCCAACGTGCTGGGATTACAGACATGAGCCACCGCACCTGGCCTTCTTACTGCTTTGTAAATGTTTCTTTATACTTATTATATTGTAGTAAACCTGTTATGTATCTTTTTCTCTAAACTTTACTTTGCCCTTTTAATTATGTCCCATTTTTATTCTGATGAATGCAGTTTTCACCTTGATTCCCCAGTGCTTTTATTTGTACTTTTGATTACTTGGTCTCTACTTCTCCCTCTGTCACCATGCATAATATCATAATAATTCTTATTTTATTTTAATTTTTGTGTTGTTTCTTGTTAATTTTTCCTCATTCCATATGTAAAGTTTTCAGTCATATGTTTATCAAATGTTTCCAGTACCTACATAACAATGATTTTTTAAAAATTGGATAAAGCATTTGCAGATGTGCAGGTCATTTTCATTTTGAGAATATATTGCTTCAATTTTTACTCTGTTCTGTTTGTCTCATACATAACTATTTTCTCCTTTCAGTTAGTTTGCAAGTTCATTAAGGATAAGTGATATGTCTTTTATTGTTTTTATACTCCTTCTGCTACTTAATAAGCAATGGTCACATAAAAATTTGTGTTGACAAATTTAAGAATATCAGCATATTCCCAGCATTTATTAGCTAAAATATGGTAACAAATCTCACAACTACTGTCAGAAATAATACCAAAATCGCACAGAAACTGTGGTGTGATAAATTTGTGTCTGTTGTGATTACGTAAATAAAACAAAGTAAGAGTAAATTCAAATAATATTTACTTAAGGTTTAAGTTAAGAAATTGAAATGCAAATGATTGTACATTTTCAAAGGTAGGTGGTCTTTTGAAGTGCATATTATAATTCTTAGTTGGTTTTATTCTAATTTGGAATTAATTTACATCAAGAAGAACGTATTTTAGGAATTATAATAACTAGCAAACTAATTTAATATGTAGGAATTTTGAGTTTAGAATTTTCTTTTTGAAAAGTAATCTGTTATACAAAGAGCTGTCATGTTAAAAATATAACTTAATTGAAGTCATATAATTTTGCAGGCTTATTTGTTCTTAGTCTAGCGATATTCCAGTTGTTTCCTCAAGTTATGACTCAAGTTTCACTAGATAAATTGCTCAGATTCTCCTCATGGCTAATTATACCATCAATTACATTGGTTAACAGTACAAAGCTACACTACTATTACTCTATACCTTTTAACATTACTTGAGTTCATTTTGAACTTTGTCAATGTCAGTGTATTTACTCTTAGTGTGATTTAAAGAAAAAGTCATGATTATTTTGTGACTTGAAAATGAAGAGTTGGGAGAATTATTTTTAGCCCTAATTACTAAATTTCAGTGTACAGTATGGCATGCTGAAACACCACCTCTGTGATGTTATTTTGGAACATGAAAACAGCAAATATTTCAGAAAATTTTCCTGAATGAGGAGTTAAACGTGATTTTAACCAGATTTGGGGGTGCATGCTGAAAAAAAAAAAAAAACTTCAGACAAGTTAAATTTGATGGAGTTTAATTGAGCAAAAAAAAGAAACAATATGTGAATCGAGCAGCCTCCAGAATCACAGCAGTTTCAGAGAGACTCCAGGGGTGCCTCGTGGTCGAACAAATTTATAGACAAAAAAGGTAAAGTGATGTACAGGAATCAGAAGTGAGGTACAGAAACAGTGAAATTGGTTACAGCCCAGTGTTTGCCTTATTTGAATGCAGTTTGAACACTCAGCAGTCTATGAGTGGTTGAAGTATGGCCGCTGGGATTGTCCAACAATCAGCTATTGTTACAGGCACATGCTACTAAGTCAGGTTTTCAATTTTGTCTGCCTATTAAGCTAGGTTATGATTCACCCACAAGGACTCAAATATAGAAGTACAGATTCCTTCTCAGGCCATATTAAATTTGCTTTAACAATGCACACCTGCAATCTATGTATGGGTAGAATGCATTTTAAGGATGAATTTAAAACAATGAATAAATGAATGCATTTATTTAACATTTGTTTATTCTGTCAATAATATGGTTTGGCTGTGTCCCCACCCAAATCTCAACTTGAATTATGTCTCCCAGAATTTCCTCATGTTAAGTAGGGGCCCAGGGGGAGGTAATTGAATCATGGGGGCTGGTCTTTCCCATGCTATTCTCATTGATAGTGAATAAGTCTCACGTGATTTGAAGCGTTTATCAGGAGTTTGTGCTTTGGCTTCCTCCGCATTTTCTGTTGCCACTGCCATGTAAGAAGTGCCTTTCACCTCCCACCATGATTCTGAGGCCTCCCCAGCCATATAGAACTGTAAGTCCAACTAAACCTCTTTTTCTTCCCAGTCTCAGGTATGTCTTTTCAGCAGCATGAAAATGAACTAATACAGTACATTGGTACCAGTAGAGTGGAGTGTTGCTGAAAAGATACCCAAAAATGTGGAAGCCACTTTGGACCTAGATAAAAATCAAAGGTTGGAACAGTTTGGAGGGCTCAGAAGAAGAGAGGATAATGTGGAAAAGTTTGGAACTTTCCAGAGACTTTTTAATAGCTTTGCCCAAAATGCCGATAGTGATATGAACAATAAGGTCCAGGCTGAGGTGGTCTCAGATGGAGATGAGGAACTTGTTGGGAACTGGAGCAAAGTGACTCTTGTTATATTTTAGCAAACAGGCTGGTGGCATTTTGCCCCTGCCCTAGAGATATGCGGAAGTTTGAACTTGAGGGAGATGATTTAGGGTATCTGGCTGAAGAAATTCCTCAGCAGCAAAGCATTCAAAAGGTTACTTGGGTGCTATTAAATGCATTCCATTTTAAAAGGGAAACAGAGCGTAAAAGTTCAGAAAATTTGCAGCCTGATGATGCAGTGGAAAAGAAAAATCTATTTTTTGAGGAGAAATTCAAGCTGGCTGCAGAAATTTCCATAAGCAACAAGGAGCCGAATGTTAATCCACAAGACAACGGGGAAAACGTCTCCAGAGCATGTCACAGGTCTTCATGGCAGCCCTTCCCCTCACAGACCCAGAATCCTAGGAGGAAATATGGTTTTGTAGGCGGGACCCAGGGTCCCCATGCTGTGTGCCTAGGGACTTGGTGCCCTGCATCCCAGCTGCTCCAGCCATTGCTGAAAGGGGTCAAGGTACAGCTTGGTTCATGGTTTCAGGGGTTTCAAGCCCCAGACCTTGGCAGCTTCAACGTGGTGTTGATCCTGTGGGTGCACAGAAGTCAAGAATTGAGGCTTGGGAGCCTCCACCCAGATTTCAGAAGATGTATGGAAATGCCTGGATGCCCAGGGGACAGTTTTCTGCAGGGGCAGGGCCCTCTTGGAGAATCTCTGCTAGGTCAGTGTGGAAGGGAAATGTGGGGTCAGAGCCCCCACAGAGTCTCCACTGGGGCACTGCCTAGTGGAGCTGTGAGAAAAGGGCCAGTGTCCTCCAGACCCCACAATGGTAGATTCTCTGACAGCTTGCACTGTGCACCTGGAAAAGCCGCAGACGCTCAACGCCATCCCATGAAAGCAGCCAGGGGGAGGCTGTACCCTGCAAAGCCACAGGGGCGGAGCTGTCCAAGACCATGGGAACCTATCTCTTACATCAGCATAACCTGGATGTGAGACATGGAGTCAAAGGAGATCACTTTGGAGCTTTTAAATTTTACTGCCCTGCTGGATTTCGGATTTTCATGAGACCTGTAACCCCTTTGTTTTGGCCAATTTCTCCCATTTGGAATAGCTGTATTTATCCAACATCTGTACCCCCATTGTATCTAAGAAGTAACTAGCTTGCTTTTGATTTTACAGGCTCATAGGTGGAAGGGACTTGCCTTATCTCAGATGAGACTTTGGACTGTGGATTTTTGGATTAATGCTGAAATAAGACTTTGGGAGACTGTTGGGAGGGCATGATTGGTTTTGAAGTGTGAGGACATTAGATTTGGAAGGACCAGGGGTGGAATTATATGGTTTGGCTGTGTCCCCCACCCAAATCTCAACTTGAATTATATCTCCCAGAATTCTCAGGTGTTGTGGGAGGGACCCATGGGGAGGTAATTGAATCATGGGGGCCAGGCTTTCCTATGCTATTCTCATGATAGTGAATAAGTCTCACAAAATCTGAAGGGTTTATCAGGGGGTTCTGCTTTTGCTTCCTCCTCATTTTCTGTTGCCTCTACCAAGTAAAAGTGCCTTTTGCCTCCCACCATGATTCTGAGGCCTCCCCAGCTATGTGGAACTGTAAAGTCCAATTAAACTTCTTTTTCTCTCCCAGTCTCAGGTATGCCTTTATCAGCATCGTGAGTAAAGTCTAGTATAGTCAATGACATAGTTGAAACTCTAGTGAAAAGAACAACACAAATACTTAAAAGATAATTTTCAAAATGTATAATAATGCTATATAAAAAATTCTATTACTAAGGGTACTTTCAGTTTTGGAGATGAAAAAAGGTTTCAATGCCAGTCTAGGAACTCAATGAAATAAAAACCAAGATGAATTTATTGAAGAAGTGCAAGAAATTTATTGGGGATAACCCTTGGGTATTAAGGTTCTACAGAGAAACATACACACACGTGTGTGTGTTTGTGTGTGTAAGTGTATGTGTGTGTATACTGTCCAAGAGAGAGATAGAGAGACTAGGAGTTGGCTCATGCAGCTATAGAGGATGAGAAGTCCTTTAACCTGTCATCTGCAAGATGGAGAACAGGGAATGCTGGTGATATTCCAGTTGAACCTGAAGGCTTGAGAATCAAGAAAATCAATAATGAATTCCCAGTCTGAGTTCAAAGACCTGAGAATGAGGGTGTGTGAATGTGGGGACACAGATATAAATCCTGAAGTCCAAAGGCTCATGAACTAGGATCTTTGTTGTCAGAGTAGAGGCAGATGACAGATGAACCAGCTCAAGAAGGGAGAAAAAGAATTCACTCTTTCTCTGCATTCTGGTTCTATTCTGGCACTCAACAGACTAGACAATGCCCACCCACAATAGTGAAGGGAATATTCTTACTTAGTTTATCAATTCAAATGTTAATCTCTCTCAGAAAATCCCCCACAGACACACACCCAAAATAATGCTTTACCAGCAATTTGAGCATTCCTTGGCTCAGTCAAGTTGACACATACAATTAACCATCACAACCCATGAAATATAAAGAGCAGAGAGATCAGGAGTAGTTCGAGTTTTAGACTGCAATGCTAATTTGATCCCGGTAAAATTAGAGGAGGAAGAAAAGCAGATTAGGTGGAAATAGCCTCGTATGTCAGTGAAGCTTTTAGAAAAAGCCTCAATCCCAAACAGTGAGCTACAGTGAAAAGATTGCCCTGTGCTGGGCAGAAATGGTGAGACGCTAGTACCCCTTCTATGTCAAATCATTGAGTAGAAATTGTTCAGAAGAGAATTGCCTCACCTCAAATGCTGTGGTTATTTCCCAAAGTGCTGCAGCTGGAGGCTGTTGGCTAATTGCACTTGTGTATCAGCTTGTTTCTTGAAAAGAATTCTGTGTAAGCATCTACATGGCTTCCAGAATTTTATAGAAAATATGACTTTAATCCTTTCACAACAGTAAATATTTGTTGAATATCTATCCTGTGTCAGATAATAAGAATATTTTTCTAAGTAATTCTTTATCTAGTTTTTACGTGTTTATAAAGAAGAAATATGTGCATAGTCAGTTTTATTGAAGGCATTGTATTGTATTATGTGGTGTATAACTTTCTGCAGTCAGATAATGTATAGGAGACAAAGTTGCAAATGTAGTTTGGCTCTTGATGATGGGAAGCCTCATATTATAGGCCCAGAACTTTGGGTTTTACCCCAAAAGCAATTGTAAAACACTTTAAGGAAAAGTGTGACATAATCAGATTAGCTTTTAATACTATACAAATGATTATCTGGAGAATTGGAGAGAGAGGGAGAAAAGGGTAGTTATATGAAAATCAATTTAAAGGTATTCAAAAAACAAGGTGAGACATGACATAAATAGGAATATATCTGAATAAAATAAGAGAAAAGGCAATGACTAGAGGGATATCTTGAGAGAGTATATATAGGACTTAGCAAATGGTTACATTACAACACTCCTAATTAAGGAGGAGAAAGAGAAGAAATGGTAGATGTGTTTTGAGTCTTTATCATTATCAGCATTATCTTCACCATCATCATCATCATCATCATTAATACTGTTTGGCTGAGGAGTGGGTAAGATGGAAGAAATTATGCTTTTTATGCATTGTGTCTGAACAACCTACTGGACAGTTAGGTGGAAATGCCAATTAAGCAGTTGAAAATACATTCTGAATCTTGAGGTAGACATCTAATGATATATTGAGTAATCTTTAGTGTATAACCACAGTTATATAACACTTTGGAATGGATATAATTTTGTAGGAAATGTAGACAGGAGAAATAAATGTTAGAACTCTCAAGCTTCTGCATAGTAAGGGAAAAAATCAACAGAGTAAAAAGACAATCTACAGAATGAGAGAAAATATTTGTGAACCATACATCTGACAAGGGGTTAATATCCAAAATACATAAGGAACTCAAACATCTCAGTAGTAAGAAAACAAATAACCTAATTTTAAAAAATGGACCAAGGACATTTCTGAAAAGAAAACAACAAATGAACAACAGGTACATGACAAAATGTTCACATCAGATGGCTGACGAGAAGAAGCGGCAATCAGAGGCTCCCATCGAAAAGAACTATAATTAGTGTGTGAATCCTGCACCAGCAACTGAGGTATCCAGGTTCTTGCATCGGAACTGACTAGACGGCTGGCATGATCCACGGAGAGGAAGGAAGAGCCATGTGGTGCAGAGGCCCTCCTGAGAGCCACACAGGACAGGAGAGCCCCCACTCCTCAGCCAAGGGAGGCTCTGAGTGAGCATGCTACCCAGCTGGGGAAACTGCTTTTTCCACAGAACTGTGTAACCCATGGATCAAAAAGTTCCCCTTGCGAACCCACGCTACCTGGGCCTGCGTTACCAACCCCAGAACTGTTCAGATTTTCAACAGCATCTCAGCTAGTATCTGCTTAAGTCTGCCCAGCTCCCAGGGAAAGGGGCAACCATCACCACAGCTGCAACTGCCTGTGGTCTAAGCCATTTGAGCTCCTTAGGGGAGGGGCAGCAGCCGCACTGGGACTCATAACTGCCTAACATGCTAGGCTTCCTGGGTTGGAGAAGTGTGGCATCCATCTCTATAACTCCAAGCCATGCTTTTCCCCTGCTGGAGCCAGGGAGGCTGGACAGCTTGGTCCCCACAAGGTGTCACCCAAAGCCCACACCGGCTGTGGCAGACTATGGCCAGAACACCTCTTCAGGACTGACCCTGACACATCCTTTCTCACTGGGCCGAGACTCCCTGCAGGAACTTCAACAACTCCAGCCAGAGGCTCAGGGACAGAACCTCGATCTCCTGGGCCTGAGCCCCTAGGGGGAGGAGTGGCCGCAGTCTCTTTGGACCAGAAAACTTAGTCTTTACCCCTGGTAGTTTTGAGGAATCCAGGCAGCCCAGATGAGTGGATTCCCCCTAGCGAAGCACACCCCCTCCACCGAGGGACAAAGTGCTTCATTAAACATGTCCTGTTCCTTGTGCCACCCAACTGAGTCAGACCCTCCAATAAGGGTTTTCAGGCACCCTATACAGGAACAATCCTACTGACATCAGTTTGGTGTCCCTTGAGGTCAGAGATCCCAGAAGAAGAAGCAGGCACACATCCTTGCTGTTCTGCAGCCTCCTTGAGTGACATCTCCAAGCAAGGGAGTGAACCACATGAACAGAACCTGAAGTGAACTCCAAGCAAACAGCAGGAGCCCTACAGAAGAGGGACTGGACCATTGAAAGAAAAACAAACAGCAACAACAACAGCATCAACAACAACAAAAAGTCCCCAAAAAACCCAATCCAAGAGTCAGCAGCCTCAAAAATCCAAACTAGACAAACTCATGATGATGAGAAAGAATCAATGAAAAAACACTGAAAACCCAAAAAGCCAGAGTGCTTCTCCTCCACCAAATGATCACAGTGCCTCTCCAGCAAGGGCACAGAACTGGACAGAGGATAAGATGGATGAATTGACAGAAGTAGGCTTCAGAAGATGGGTAATAAAAAACTCCGCTGAGCTAAAGGAACATGTTCTAACCCAATTCAAAGAAGTTAAGAACTTTAATAAAACGTTAGAGGAGCTGCTAACTAGAACAACCAGTTAAAAGGGAAACATAAATGACCTGATGGAGCTGAAAAACACAGCATGAGAACTCTGTGAAGGATACACAAGTATCAATAGCTGAATCAACCAAGCAGAAGAAAGGATATAAAAGTTTGAAGAGCACCTTGCTGAAATAAGGCATGCAGACAAGATTAGAGAAAAAAGAAAGGAAAGGAACGACCAAAGCCTTCAAGAAATATGGGACTATGTAAAAAGACTGAACCTGTGTTTGATTGGAGTACCTGAAGGAGATGGGTAGAATGGAAACAAGCTGGAAAACACTCTTTAGGATATTATCTAGGAGAAATTCTGCAACCTAGCAAGACAGGCCAATATGCAAATTCAGGAAATACAGGGAACACCACTAGGATACTCCATGAGAAGATCAACCCCAAGACACATAATCATCAGATTCTCCAAGGTTAAAATGAAGGAAAAAAAAGTTAAAGGTAGCCAGAGAGAAAGACCAGTTCACCTACAAAGGGAAGCCAATCAGATTAACAGTGGACCCCTCAGCAGAAACCCTACTAACCAGAAGAGATTGGGGCCCAGTATTCAACATTCTTAGAGAAAAGAATTTTCAACCCAGAATTTCATATTGAGCCAAACTATGCTTCATAAGTGAAGGAGAAATAAAATCCTTTCCAGAAAAGCAAATGCTGAGGAATTTCATCACCACCAGGCCTGCCTGGCAAAAGCTCCTGAAGGAAGCACTAAATATGGAAAGAAAAGAACTGGTAGCAGCCACTGCAAAAACACACCAAAATATAAAGACCAATGACACTGTGAAGAAACTGCATCAACTTGTGCGCAAATAACCAGATAGCATCATGATTATAGGATCAAATTCACACATAATGATACTAACCTTAAATGTAAATGGTCTAAAAGTCCCAATTAAAAGACACAGAGTGGCAAATTGTATAAAGAGTCAAGACCCATCAGTGTTATATTCAGGAGACCCATCTTATGTGCAAAGGCACATATAGGCTCAAAATAAAGGGATAGAGGAAAATTTACCAAGCAAATGGAAAGAAAAAAAATGCAGGGGTTGAAATCCTAGTCTCTAACAAAACACAGTTTAAACCAACAAAGATAAAGAAATACAAAGAAGGGCATTAGATAATGATAAAGGGAACAATTCAACAAGAAGAACTAACTATCCTAAATACATATGCACTCGATACAGGAGCACCCAGATCCACAAAACAAGTTCTCAGAGACCTAAAAGACACTTAGACACCCACACAATAATTGTGGGAGACTTTAACACCACACTGTCAGTATTAGATCAATGAGACAGAAAATTAACAAGGATATTCAGGACTTGAACTCAGCTCTGGATCAAGTGGACTTAATAGACATCTACAGAACTCTCCACCCCAATCAACAGAATATACATTCTTCTCAGTGCCACATGGCACTTATTCTAAAATCGACCACATAGTTGGAAGTAAAACATACCTCAGCATATGCAAAAGACCTGAAATCATAACAAACAGTCTCTCAGACCACAGTGCAATCAAATTAGAACTTAGGATTGAGAAACTCACTCAAAACCACACAATTAAATGGAAATTGAACAACCTGCTCCTGAATGACTCCTGGGTAAATAATGAAATAAAGGCAGAAATCAAGAAGTTTTTCAAAACCAATAAGAACAAAGAGACAATGTACCAGAATCTCTGGGATACAGTTAAAGCAGTGTTAAGAGGGAAATTTACAGCACTAAATGCCCACATCAGAAAGCTAGAAAGATCTCAAATCAACACCCTAACGTCACAATTAAAAGAGCTAGAGAGGCAAGAGCAAACTAATACAAAAGCTAGCAGAAGACAAGAAATAACTAAAATCAGAGCAGAATTGAAGGAGATAGAGTCACAAAAACCCTCCAAAAGACTGACGAACCCAGGAACTATATTTTTGGCAAAATTTAACAAAATAAATAGTTCACTAGATAGACAAATAACGAAGAAAAGAGACAAGAATCAATAAAAAATGATAAAGGATATATCACCACTGACCCCACAGAAATATAGACTATTATCAGATAACACTATAAACAGCTCTGCACAAATAAACTGAAAAATCTAGAAGAAATGGATAAATTTCTGGACACATAGAGCCTCCCAGGACTAAACCAGGCAGAAGTCAATTCCCTTAATAGACCAAGAACAAGTTCTGAAACTGAGGCAGTAATTAATAGACTACCAACCAGAAAAAGCCCAGGACCAGATGGATTCACGGCCGGATTCTACCAGAGGTAGAAAGAGGAGCTGGTACCATTCCTTCTGAAGCTATTCCAAACAATTGAAAAGGAGGGAGTCCTCTCTAACTCATTTTATGAGGCCAGCATCATCCTGATACCAAAACCTGGCAGAGACATCACCACAATGACAACAAATAAAACTTCAGGCCAATATCCCTGATGAATACCAACATGAAAATCCTCAATAAGATACTGGCAACTGAATCCAGCAGCACATTGAAAAACTTACCCAACATAATCAAGTCGGTTTCACCCCTGGGATGCTAGGCTGGTTCAACATATGCAAATCAATACATGTAATCCATCACATAAACAGACCGAAAGACAAAAACCACATGATTATCTCAATAGATGCAAAAATGTCCTTTGATACAATTTAACATCCCTTCATGTTAAAAACTCTCAATGAACTAGATATTGATGGGATATATCTCAAAATAATAAGAACTATTTATGACAGACCCATAACCAATATCATATTGAATGGGCAAATCTGGAATCATTCCCTTTGAAAACTGGTACAAGACAAGAATGCCCTCTCTTACCACTCCTATGCAACATACTATTGGAAGATCTGGTTGGGGCAATCAGGCAACAGAAAGAAATAAAGGGTGTTCAATTAGAGGGAGAGAAAGTTAAATTGTCTCTGCAGATGACATGATTATATATTTAGAAAACCCCATCATCTCCACCCTAAAACTCCATAAGCTGATAAGCAACATCAGCAAAATCTCAGGATACAAAACCAATGTGCAAAAATCACAAGCATTCCTTTACACCAAAAATAGACAAGCACAGAGCCAAATCAAGAATGAACTCCCGTTCACAATTGCTACAAAGAGAAGAAAATACCTAGGAATAAAACTTATAAGGGATGTAAAGTCCCTCTTCAAGGAGAACTACAAACCACTGCTCAAGGAAATAAGAGAGGACACAACCAAATGGAAAAACATTCCATGCTCATGGATAGGTAGAATCAACATCATGAAATGGCCATACCACCCAAAGTAATGTATAGACTCAATGCTAATCCCATCAAACTACCATTGACATTCTTCACAGAATTAGAAAAAACTCTTTCATATTTCCTATGGAACCAAAAAAGAGCCGGCATAGCCAAGACAATCCTAAGCAAAAAGAACAAAGCTGGAGACATCATGCTACCTGATTTCAAACTATACTTCAAGGCTACAGTAGCCAAAGCATCCTGGTACTGGTACCAAAACAGATATATAGACCAATGGAACAGAACAGAGCCCTCAGAAATAACACCACACATCTACAACCATCTGATCTTTGACAAACCTGACAAAAACAAGTGATGGAGAAAGGATCACCTGTTCAATAAATGGTGCTGAGAAAACTGGCTAGCCACGTGCAGAAAACAGAAACGGGACCCTTTCCTTACACCTTATACAAAAATTAACTCAAGATGGACTAAAGGCTTAAATGTAAAACCCAAAACCATAAAAACCCTGGAAGAAAACCCAGGCATTCAGGACATAGGCATGGGCAAAGACTTCATGACTAAAACACCAAAAGCAACGGCAACAAAAGTCAAAACTGACAAATGGGCTCTAATTAAAGAGCTTCTACACAGCAAAAGACATTATCATCAGATTGAACAGGCAACCTACAGAATGGGAGAAAAATTTTGCAAGCTACTCATCTGACAGAAGTCTAATATCCAGAATTTACAAGGAGCGTAAACAAATTTACAAGAAAAAAACAACCCCATGAAAAAGTGGGCAAAGTATATGAACAGACTCTTCTCAAAAGAAGACATTTACATGGCCAACAAACGTGAAAAAAAGCTCAGCATCACTGATCATTAGAGAAATGCAAATGAAAATCACAATGAGATACCATCTCACACCAGTCAGAATGGTGATTATTAAAAAGTCAAGAAACAATAGATGCTGGCTGGGCTGTGGAGAAACAGGAACACTTTTACATTGTTGGTGAGAATGTAAATTAATTCAAGCATTGTGGAAGACAGTGTGGTGATTCCTCAAGGATCTAGAACCAGAAATACCATTTGACCCTGCAATCCCATTACTAGGTATATACCCAAAAGAATATAAATCATTCTACTATAAAGACACACGCACACATATGTTTATTGGAGCACTATTTACAATAGCAAAGTCATGGAACCAACCCAAATGTGCATCAATGATGGACTTGTTAAAGAAAATGTGGTACATATACACTGTGGAATAATATGCAGCCATAAAAAGAAATGAGATCATGTCCTTTCCAGGGACATGGATGAAGCTGGAAGCCATTATCCTAAGCAAGCTAACACAGAAACAGAAAAACAAACACCACATGTTCTTGTTCATAAGTGAGAGTTGATCAATGAGAACCCATGGACACAGGGAGGGGAACATCACACACCAGAGCCTGTTAGGGGGTGGCGAGTGAGAGGAGGGAACTTAGAGGACAGATCAATAGGTGCAGCAAACCACCATTGCACACGTATACCTATGTAACAAACCTGCACGTTCAAATTGAATGGTTATTCTCAAAAGGACAAGAGATAACAATATCAGTGAGGATGTGGAGAAAAAGAAACCCCTGTACACTGTTGTTACAAATGTAAATTAGTATAGTCATTATGGCAAAAGTGTGAAGGTATCAAAGTATTAAAATATAATTATCATATGATCTAGCAATTCCACTAGAGAATACATGTATATACATAAGAAAAGAAGTATTTGGAAGAGATATCTGCACTCCCATGTCCATTGCAGCATTATTCATAATAGCCAACATGTGGAATCAACCTTAAAATGCATTAACAGGCTGGGCACGGTGGCTCACGCCTGTAATCCCAGCACTTTGGGAGGCTGAAGTGGGCGGACCACAAGGTCAGGAGATCAAGACCATCCTGGCTAACACGGTGAAACCCCCTCTCTACTAAAAATACAAAAATAAAAAAAAAATTACCCAGGCGTGGTGTCGGGCACCTGTAGTCCCAGCCACTCAGGAGGCTGAGACAGGGGAATGGTGTGAACCCGGGAGGCAAGCTTGCAGTGAGCCGAGATCGTGCCACTGCTCTCCAGCCTGGGTGACAGAGCAAGACTCCGTCTCAAAAAAAAAAAAAAAAAAAGGTGCATAAACAAATGAATGGATAAATAAAATGTGGTGTATGTACACACAATAAAACACTCTCCAGCCTTTAAAAAAAGAAGGAAATTGTGACATTTGGGATAACATGAATAACTCTGGAGAACATTATGTTAAGTGAAGTCAGGCACAGAAAGATAAATACCACATTACATCACTTATACGTGGAATCAGAACCAGAGATTAGAATGTTGGTTACCAGAGACTAGGGAATAGAGGGATTGGGAAGATACTAATTAGACGACAGAAGGAATAAATTCACTAGATCTATTGTACAATATGGTGACTATAGTTAATAACAATGTATTATACACTTAGAAACTGTTAAGAGAATAGATTTAAATGTTTTCACCACAAAAGAATATTAATTATGTAAATTAATAGATATATTAGCCTGATTTAGTCATTCCACAATGTATACATATATCAAAATCTCATGTTGTGCATCATACATATATACAGTTTTTTTATCAATTAAATGATAAATTATGCCATGGAATACAACTCAACTGTAAAAAATATAACTCTTACATATTTGAGAAACAAGAGGGGATTTGTAATTAAGAACATTGGTCAGTTCTTTCAGAATACTCTCATTAGAATCAAGTTGTAGGTGTTGTACATCAACAATTGAAACACAAAGGGAATAAGATAAATAATCCTGTTAGAAATTTTCCAAAAACAACTAAATAATGATAGTGTGATATATACTAGTTGGAAGACAACGTTAAATGTAATCTTTATTATTATTGCTGTTGATGAAAGTTTCTTGGATATATATGTAAACTGAGAAGGAGAAATTAATAGAGGACAGATTGCAGATACAAAAAAGAAAGACGGCTAATGAATCAAACTCCAGAAGAGACAACACTGTAGGATCAAAATATATTTTCTAGTTATAAAATTTGTTCTCACATTTTAAATACTTTTTTAATGATAATCTCATGTAAAAAATTGTATTTCTGTTCTTGATAAAAACTACTGTTAGATTTTAAGATACATTGAAACTTTACTATGTATGTTTGTACTAAGGTAATCTGTGTATTTTGCCAAGCATTGCTATGAAAAAGCTGTATGCCAGCCTTCTAAGATACAAAATGAAGATAAGAATATAAGTTACATAAATTAGTAAAATGTCTTGTAACTTTACTATATATATATAATTAATAATATATGTATAATAACAAAGCAATGTTATTAGCATACTATTTTTCAGGTTTTGTGAAAATTGAATGACTGTGGAGATGTAAAGAGTTTAAAACAATGCCCAGCACATAGTAATCAGCCAATAGTTATTGCCATTGTATTGCATTGATACATATATTTCTCATAGAATTCAGTAGTTACTCTTCTAAGTATCCAGGAAGAGAAATGAAAACATATGTCCATACAAATTATTAAACAGAAATGTTTTAGGGCAGATTTATTCACAAAATTCCCACACTCAAATCAACCCAAATGTTCATTAGCAAGAGAATGGATAAACTAATTGTGTTATACCCGTTAATGTAATGCTGTTCAACAACAAAAGGACACTAACAATGCACAAAATATAGATGAATCTCAAACACATTATGCTGAACAAAAGAAACTAGAAACAAAGGCAAACATCCACTATGATTTTGTGTATGTGGCATTCTCAAAAATACGAACCTAGCATATAATGCGATCAAGATCAGATTTTGCCTGGGGCAGGGTTAGGGTATGGCCTAGGTAAATATTTTGGGAAATATTCCATATAATTTTATAGTAGCATTATTTAGATTTAATTCACATGTCTTACAATTCACATATTTAAGGTATACAATTCAAGAATTTTTAGTGTATTCACAGAGATAACAATCATCACTACAGTGAATTTTAGAACATTTCCTCATTTCAAAAACAGCGACTTATGCATTCACTATCATTCACCTCCCAACCCCTCATCTTCCTGTAACAGCCCTCAGCAACTAAGACTAATGTATTTTCAGTCTATAGATTGGCCTATTCTAGATATTCTATATAAAATGAATCATAAGATATGTGGCCATTTGTACCTGGCTTCTTTCACTTAGCATGATGATTTCAAGGCTCATTCATGTTGTAGTATCAGTACATTTTTGATGTAGCTGAGTAAAATCCCATTGTATGGATATACCACTACTTTGGATCAAATTGTGTCTCTGCCATGTTCATATGTTGAAGCCTTAATGAATAAAATTACATAAGAGACAACATTGTGGGGATCAAGTGTATTTTCCAAATTTGTAATTTTGTATTTACAAATATAAATAAAATTTGTCCTTACATTTTAAACATTTCCTTTTTTCAGTGATAATCTTGTAAAAAAATGGATTCCTGTTTTTGGTAAAAAAAAAATACTATTAGATTATGTCAAAATATATTGACATTAATGCAACTGTATTCAGACATAGGTATTTTAGGCAGAAATAAGGGTAAATGTAATCATAAGAGTGGGTCCAATAGGTGGTCTTAGAAGAAGAGAAAGGTATATATATATATATATCTGCATGTGCATGCACTAAGGAAAGATTTTGTGATGGCACAGTGAGAGAGTGGCCAACTAAAAACCAGGAAGAGAGCCCTTGCCAAAACCTGACCATGCCAGCACCTTGTCCTGGACTTTCAGTCTTCAGAGCTGTGGGAAAAAAAATTCTCTTTTATCTACCCAGTGTATGGTATTTTATTATGGTAGCCCAAGCAGACTAGGACAACCACATTTTGTTTAGCCGTTTATAACTTAATAAGCATTGAATGGTTTCCGTGTTTGACTATTATGTCTAATACTGCTTATCCCTTTATGTACAATTTAGCATGACATATGTTCTAATCTGGGGACACTATATACCTAGCAGTGGTATTGCTGAGGTATAGTTTAACTCTATGTTTGATTGCTTGAAAAACTGCCAAACTGTTTTCCAAAGCTGTAGCACTATTTTACTTTGTCACCAGCAGTGTAGGAGGGTTCCAATTTCGCCATATCCTCACCAACACTTGTTATTGCCTGTCTTTTTCTTATTACAGCCATGTTAGTAAGTATGAAGTTGCATCTCACTTTAAGTTTAACTTGTATTTCCCTGATGACTAATGATATTAAGCATTTTCTTATGTGTTTATTACCCATTTGTATATCTTCTTTGGATAAATATCTATTCAGATCCTTTTCCCATTTATCTTTATTTTTTAAATTTTATTTATTTATTATTATTGTTTTTTTTTTTTGAGATAGCGAGTCTCCTTCTGTCCCCCAGGCTGGAGTGCAGTGGCCCAGTCTTGGCTCACTGCAAGTTCTGCCCCCCTAGTTCACGCCATTCTTCAGCCTCAGCCTCCCGAGTAGCTGGGACTATAGGCGCCCGCCACCACGACAGGCTAATTTTTTGTATTTTTAGTAGAGATGGGGTTTCACCGTGTTAGCCAGGATGGTCTCGATCTCCTGACCTCGTGATCTGCCCACCTTGGCCTCCCAAAGTGCTGAGATTACAGGTGTGAGCCACCATGCCCGGCCCCCATTTTTAAACTGTTTTTATTGTTGGGTTGTAAGAGTTCTTTATATATTCTGGATATGAGCTGTTTATTACATATGTAATTGGCACTTATTTTCTTCTTTGCTGTGAGTTGCTTATTTATTCCTGAAAATGTATTTTGAAGCACAAAATATTTTAAACGTCATGAAGTCTAATTTATTTTTATTTTTTAACTCATGCTTTAGGTATCATATCTAAGGCTTCATTGCCAAATGTCGGATCCTGAAGATTTATGTCTTTCTCTATGAGCTTTACACTTTTAGCATTAACAATTACTCATTGAAACACTTTGAGGTAATTCTTGTGTATGCTGTAAGTTGAGGTCAAAATTAATTTTTTTATATGTGGTTGTCCAGTTGTTCTTGCGCTATTTGCTGAAAAGTATCATTCTATACCCATTGAATAACCTTAGCACACTGCCAAAAATTTGTCAATTATAAACCCAAAGGTTTATTTCTAGAATCTTGATTCTATTTCGTTAGGTTTTACAGCCAGAGCACTGTAAATCTTAATGCCAGTATTACACTGTCTTGATTATTGTTGCTTTGTAGTGAATTCTAAAATCAAGAAGTGCCAGTCCTCCAAATTTGTTCTTTTTTTTTTTCAGGATTATTTTGGCTATTCTGATCCCTTGTATTTCCATATTCATTTTTACAAAGTTGGAATTCTAATAGGGGTTGTGTTGAATCTGTAGACCAATGTGGAGAGTACTGCCATCTTAATACAGTCTTGTGATTCATTACTGCCATCCAATAAATCTGGGAAGTATTTATCCATTATTTCTACAATTTTTTTCTGCTTCTTTTTTTCTGATCCTCTAGTATTCCTGTAATGTCTATGTTGGTGACCTAATGGTGGCTCAGATTTCTTTGAGGATCTGTTCACTTTATTTTTCTCTATTCTTTGGCTTCAACATTCCCTATCAGTCTATCGTTAAGTATAGTAGGTCTTTCTTCTTCCAATTTAAAACTATTATTGAGCCCCTCTAATGAATTTTTTCTTTAAGTTATTATATTTTTTAACTCCAAAACTCACATTTGATTCTTTTTTATAATTTCTATTTTTATTCTCTATTTGATATGACATTATCATCATACTTTCTTTTACTTTTTAATTATGGCTTTCTTTAGTTGTTTGAACATTTAGAGCGGCTATTTTGAATACTTTTTCTGTTACAGCCAACATTTGATCACTTTCACAGAAGTGTCTTGTTGTCTGTGATTTTTTTCCCCCTATGTGTGGATGAGATTTTCCTTTTTCTTTGCATGTCTCACATTTTGTTGTTGTTGTGGAATACTGGATATTTCAAATAATATAGCATAAACTCACTAATGCTTTTTGCTCTATTGTCTTCAGTAATGTCCTCGAGCAAAAACTGCCTCACAGACTAATCCAGTTGAATTCAGGCACCTCTGATGGAGTAGTTACTTATGTCAGTGTCAGAGATTTGTTCTAACCCTAGGAGTGTTATTTCTATAACTCTTTCCCTGTTTTACTCCAGCAAACTAGTTAGCCTGCAATTTAGCCTCTACCTCCAATGAATCTATCAATCCCTCCCAATTGTCATTCATCACAATTTCCTATTTGTGATAGTACCTTTAGGCTTGAACTCTCTACATTATGTGTTGCAAATGAAGTCAGTTCCTTTGGAAGCAATTTGGAACAATCTGTTTTGAAGGCTGCTTCTCTTTCCAGACACAGTCTCTGAACCATGGCTCTGGTGCTGGGAGCAGAAACAATAGTGTGTTTCTGTCTGAATGATGCCCTTGGCTTTAATTACTGAGCCTCTTCATGGATGAGACAACAGAGCCCCAGATATCCTCAGCTTGCCTTTCAAGGTGTGTAACACCCACCCTGTGAGCCTAGGCAAGGATGATCATAAGTCCAGTATTCTCAGTGATGCTGCAACTAAATAGATTTTCACTTGCAAGCTGAGTGTTGGATGGAAAGAAAAAACAACAAACAAACAAAACAAAACACCAAAAAAGCCTTCCTCTTCTTGATTAAACTCACTCAAAGTGTAGCCTGGGGGCAGAATGGGAGAATCACATCCTGATCCTCCCAAAATGGAAGATAGTCTTCTGACTCCAGGACAGAAGGAGAAAAAGCCCTGTGTTCCTTTTTTTTTTTTTTTTTTTTTGAGATAGAGTCTCGCTCTGTCCCCAGGCTGGAGTGCGGTGGCGGTGGCGAGATCTCTGCTCACTGCAAGCTCCGCCTCCTGCGTTCACGCCATTCTCCTGCCTCAGCCTCCCAAGTAGTTGGGACTACAGGCGCCAGCCACCACCATGCCTGGCTAATGTTTTTTGTTTTGTTTTGTTTTGTATTTTTAGTAGAGACGGGGTTTCACCATGTTAGCCAGGATGATCTCGATCTCCTGACCTCGTGATCCGCCTGCCTTGGCCTCCCAAAGTGCTGGGATTACAGGCATGAGCCACCACCCCCGGCCAGCCCTGTGTTCTTACTATATTCGTTTAGATTAGAGTTTGTGTCCCAGTGAGCTGGGAGAAGGATGGGAGAGTGCAATCTTGGTTTAGACACCACAAACTCTTACAGTTCTTACTGAGCGTTAGAAGATTTTCTTGAATGAATGTTTATTTGTCATATGCCTTTCTAGCAATTCCAGATACTTAAAATGTTTTTTAATAATTTTCACCAGTTTCTTTGATAAACAGGTCCACAAAGTTTCTTATCCTCTCATGCTGTAAATAGCCCTCCTCTATATCTTGAATGTAATTTTGTTTACAAATGTGTATCCATTCATGAAAACTTATTCTTAGATATGGATGCATTTAATTTTATTTAACTTATATTTTAACAAAGTTGCTTTATTTTTAATTGCCAATTTGAAAGGAACATAAAAGAACATTTTTAGAAAGCATAATATATAACATACTTTAAGAATTTCAAGTCATTTTATTGTGAGATTGAACAGGAAAACTTTGATGCTTTTTGCATTGCCAAGAATGTATAATGAGTTGCTGTATTCCTGGAACATATTAATTTTATATCCCAGATTACACGTCAGAAGTCATGTGTGGAATGAAATTTTGCAGGGCTGAATTTTGGATAATTTGAGAGTACTCTTTAAGAGAAGGAAACCAAAAATACAAGGCATCGTAAACTTTTTAAATATATTTTTTGCTACTTGTTAGCAATATATGATCATGTAAAGACATTCTGCTGCCTCTTCCCAAAGCCTTAGAAAGTGCACATACACCTGATAGTACCCAAAGCTTCAGCTTCATTAGCCCCATATCCTATCTGCATCTGCCAGGAATGTTTGCTGTAAATATCTTTTATTCAAGGACTCCTCCTCTAATCCTATATATCTGCCAAGAGTTTGACTGCTTGGGAACAGTTTATACTGTGATTTCCCATGCTGCCCTTGTAGAGATATAAACAATTTTACTATTGTGGCAAAAAACATATTAAAATAATAAAATCATTTCTGCCACAAAATTAATATAATGATTTTATTATTATTTAAACGATTTATTTTTAACTAAACCTGTGGGCTCCACTTCTGCAGAGAAAATGAAACATATCAAATACTTAGAATTTTTCAATGTGATATATTTCCTTTCAATATGGAATAAACTTTTTAAATAAAAATATATAACAAGATTTTGGTGAGCTGTGTGGACTAAGACCAAAACATAAGAATATTTAAAGAATGAGAAGGAATGGATAACCTTACAAAAGAGGTAAAAGAAATAACAACAGGACATGGAAAATAGGACATTTATTTGTAAAAACAAATTAAGGAGTTTGAAGGCTTCAAAGCTAAAATAGGGTCCATCATTTTTCTGTGTTTGAAAGGAGTAGAAAAAAGAAAACTGATAAAAGGAAGTTTTATCTTTAATGACACACAAAAATAAGATGTACTCAAGCAAATATTATTCACATAGTGCCTGAACCATCAAATAAATAAACCAAAGGACATGAAATAAAATAAAACTCTGGCCAGACGTGGTAGCTGACGCCTGTAATCCCAGCACTTTGGGAGGCAGAGGCAGGTGGATCACCTTTGGTCAGGAGTTCGAGACCAGCCTGACCAATATGATGAAACCCCGTCTCCACTAAAAATACAAAAATTAGCAGGGCATGGGGGCATGTGCCTGTAATCCCAGCTACTCGGGAGGCTGAGATAGGACAATCACTTGAACCTGGGAGGCGGAGGTTGCAGTGAGCTGAGATCACACCATTGCACTCAAGCCTGGGCAACAAGAGAGAAATTCTGTCTAAAAAAAAAAAAGAACATATATTTATATATTGCTACTTATTTTCTTCTAGACTCTCTGATAGTTGTTGTTTTCCTGTGGTAAAATTCTATAAGATAAAGGTTAAATTTTTCTCATCTGACAGGAACATCAGGATACAGTTCGGCTCTAACAGGTTGATGTGTGATTTCTTAAAAGGAATAATGAATGACTTCTACAGCAATATCAGTAGGTAAATATATTGTTACAATTTATTTTCTATTTTCATTTCAACTTCTGGCTTTTTCACTGGGGAGCAGAAAATAAAATAGCAATGGCTCTTCATTATAAAAATCATGCATCATATTTTTCCACTGGACCTGCTATTACATTATTAAATCCATACACTCTCTGGGGCAAGGTAGTTTAAATAGATAATTTGATTACACTTCCCCTTGTCTTTTTTTAATCAAATGCCCCCAGCAGGAAAGATACATTTAAATAGTGTGTGTATTACAAATTATAGTCTCCACTGTTAGGTATGTTTAAATTACTTTTATATTTTCCTTTAAGTTTTGCTAGCCACTTGCTGTGTGACCTTAGGCAAGGTACTTAACTATGCCAAACTCATTTTTTCTTCAAGTAAGAAAAAAATATTCTATATATTTTCCAATGTGTTTGAATATATCTTTCTTTTGCCGGGGGAAGGGGAGAAAATGGGGAATGGAGTGAAATGCAGTGCTTAAGTGTATATAATATTAATTTCTGTGGAACCATGGGGTCACATCAGCAAATAAGCTCTTTGTTAATTAGATAGTGTGGTAATGAACATAAGCTTTTATGCTAAGTTGACTTAGGTTTGAATTTTAGCTTTAGTATTTGTAAACTCTGTGATTTTGGGCAAGTCAATTAACCTCTCTGAAAAATATGTTTTATATGGAATATGGGCATAACAACAAGTATTGTAAAGATTAAGTAAGCTTAATTATGAGAGTTAAGTTCAGTCAAAAGCCAAGTCACATTGTTTTCATTACATCCTATACTCCATATAAAGTATATTTTACAAAGAAAAATATATATTTTTTCTATTGTTTTAGATCGTATTGATTATAGGGAAGAACAAAGAGCTAGAGGCTATTTTTTCTAGGCCTTTCTATCTCATCTTTCTTACCTAGAAAATTTTGCATGGGACATTTTCTTGGTACAGCAATCAAGCCTGCTAAGATACCTCAGAGTATATTTACAGCCTTCCAAATTCAACATATCTTTGGGAGCAAAAATGACTTGGAATATAATCATCTCTTGTTTAGGGGAGAGATGAGACATGTTTATATTTTTTTATTTGTTTATCTTATTCTGGAAAAACTCTATCTTTTCCCTAAACGTAAATGCTATTAGACACAGTAAAACACAATGATTGACTTATTTGAACATAAATGCTAAAAATTAGAATGTATTTGTCATCATTAACTTAACAGTATTTGTCTCTGTAATTCTCAGTGCTCACTATGGAAACTTACAAGCTTCGAACCATAGGAAACTGATTTTTAGCCTTCAAAATATAATAACTATTCTTAGAATTTTAAAGAAAGATGTCATTCAACTCTGTGTGTCATATTTGTTCTCAGTCACAGAATTCTCTAGTAACTTCTCTCTGGCTCATACTGCTTCTACTTCACATCTTGCATATTAACTTTAATTTTAAACTCCAATGCAAAGCAATGTTACATCAATATTTACAGTGCTGATGATCGGTGATGACCATAACTCAATCCTATGTCAAGATACGGCATTTGATTGGGGACCGAGTAAAATCAATGTCAATACATGGCTTTCCAACAAATGACATGGTAAATCCTTGGCAGAATAGTAGGCAGTGCTTCTTATTCATCACTGGAAAGATAGGTATTTTCTTGCAAGCTGTTTTTGGTGTGAATCTAGCAATGTGTTGTCTAGGTCCATTTATCATTCATTTCCTAGTCAATGTCAAGACAGATGGCTAAATAAAATGTGGTATTTCCAGAACTGTATGAGAAATTGACATGATTTACATATAGCAAGCTAATTTGAACTCATAAGGAAATATAATATCATATGTTAAAATATTTTGTGTTCTTTGAACTGATCTACCATGCTTTTGAACACAATTATGGGAGAGTAACAGTGACATCAAAAATGACATAGATTAATAACATTTTTGCTAAATAAAATGTATGGCTATTTTATTAAGGAATGAAGTTGATAATTATGAAAGAGATTTAAAAAAAAGAATAAATCAATACCATTTCACTAGAAATCCCTTTCCTTTTTCAATGGACCATTCATGCTGCATACTTGTTTCCTCAATGACTTTCTAACCTACTTCTAAGATTCCACGGATTAGAGCAGCAAAAAGAAATGAGATGTATGAAATGCCTATAGAAATAAGGAGTGCAAAAGGGTACAGAAGTTAAATCATTTAAGGAGTATTTCATTTTTAGAGTATTTCAATTTTAGGTAAAATTGCCTCTCTGGACTCTCTATTTCTGCTTTTTGCCGTTCTTATTAAAGGTCTGAAAATTTCATAGTAATTTAAAATATTGTTCATTAACATTAAAGAAAAAGTTTGATTGAAATGGATTCTTCTCTAAATGTTTTTTTTTCATGTTTGTTCTCTTTAATTCTGCAATACATGCTTAATTTCACCTTTATATTCAGGAATTTTTTTTTTTTGCACAATCCAGGAACAATTATAACCCTGTTGAAAATAGTGGTAATGGCAATATACTATTACTAGACTGCAATACATGAATTAATGTATAAAGGAAAAAAAATCTGTGCTTTTCTGCTACTATTTAAAGTTTTATTAGGAAGTTAATTTTATAAAAGTAATCAAGAGGGTTACAATTAAATGATACGTATTTGAACTGCATCTATTATAATAATATACTGCTCTCAAAAATGTTTTTCTATTCCATAAAATAAATCCAGGTTAACAAATAATTTTAGCAAAGGGAATGATGAACAGCGTTGGCTAGTTTAACAAGTGGTTAGTTAGTGAGCCAAAATATCACCATATATTACTTAAGATCAAACTAGACTTTTATGCTTTGTTTTTATGACATCTTCAATGCATAGATAGTAGGGAGGAGCCCCAAATAAGTTTGTGCTAAGAATTTAAGGACTGAAGAATATGAAATAATTGTATGATATTGGTACACAAGTCACTTTTGTCACATACAAGTTTTATTACAAACAGGTACATACAATGTGATTAAATGATTTGTGAACCAGTCATTTGATATATTTAAAAATTTACTGAGGTGAATTACTTATTGGCTTGTGTGGTAATTATAGCTCAGTGTTTTTTCTAGTTATATTCAACGTAGGTCCTTATCAAGGCATGTTTGCAATACAGAAGTATATTTTTATATGCAGCCCACATTCTAATTAGCACATTCTAATTTCCAGCTTAAAAAAAAACACAAGTAGCATATGGCTTAAAATGTTTTCTTGTTAATAACTAAACGGTGTACCTCACTGTAAGACAAAAAGTGAACCTTTCTTTACTTTGATTGAGCCTTGCTCTGTGACATTTTATTTTTATTGGATAATTAAATAATTAAATAAGATGAAATCAATTACTTTCATTAGAAATTAGAGGTAATTTAGGTTTAAGAAACTACTTTTCTGAGTATTGGAATGTTTTCATCATGTGAAACCTACTGAACTTTCTAACTTATTTCTTTATATATCTGACATTTGTATCAAACACCTTTTGTTGCTTATATATTTATACTAAATAAACTTGCATTTAGATTTTCCTTTAAAAAATATGTTTAATGTCTTAAGTCCATCTGTCTCACTTAAAAATTGTAAAATAGCCATCAAATGTGAATAATAAACCTGCACAATATTTCATTAGAGTATGCCTTATGAAGAACAAAAATATAATTTCAAAACAATAGTTTTTATATACATTGGTGTTACATAAGTAGACACATAGCATTATGCCCTTCAGTCACTGAAAGAGTGTATTCCTGCAGGCACAATCTATGAACAAAAAAACAAGCTCTACAGGGAGTCTACCATAAAATCATGGAAGTCTCTTTTCCTTTGATTTCCTTTCCATTTCCTTTCCCAATTTTTTTTTCACTTTTATTTGAGATTCAGGGGGTACATGTGGAGGTTTGTCTCAAAGATACATTGCATGAGGCTGAGGTTTGGGGTACAGTTCAACCCATCACCCAGGTAGTGAGCATAGGTAGTTTTTCAACACTTAATCTCTCTGCCACCCTTCCCCCTTTTATAGTCCTCAGTGTCTATGGCTCCCATCTTTATGTCCACGTGTATCCAACATTTAGCTCCCATTTATAAGTGAGAACACGCAGTATTTAGTTTTCTGTTTCTATACTGGTTTGTTTAGGATAGTGGCCTCTAGCTGCATCCATATTCCTGCAAAAGACATTACTTCATTCTTTTTATGGCTGCATAGCATTCCATGGTATATATGTGCCACATTTTCTTTATCCAGTTCACTGATGATTGGCTTCTGAGTTGATTCTATGTTTTTGCTATTGTGAATATTACTGTGATAGACATATGGGCAAATGTGTCTTCTTGGTAGAAAAATTTCTTTTCTCTTGGGCATATACCCAGTAATGGGGTTGATGGATCAAATGGTAATTATATTTTTAGTTCTTTGAGAAATCTCCAAGCTGCTTTCCACAGTGGCTGAACTAATTTGCATTCCCACCCACAGGGTATTATTGTTCCCTTTTCTCCGCAGTCACTCCGACATCTGTGGGTTTTTGTCTTTGTTTTTCTTTTTCTTTTCAGTAATAGCCATTCTTACTGGTGTGAGCTGGTATCTCGTTGTTGTGATTTGCATTTCCCTGATGATTATAGATGATGAGTATTTTTTCATATGTTTGTTGGCTACTTTTATGTCATCTTTTGAGAACTGTCTGTTCATGTCTTTGCCTAGTTTTTAATGAGGTTATTTGTTTTTTATTTGTTAAATTATTTGAGTTCTTTATCAATTATTGATACAAGACCTTTGTCAGATACATAGTCTACTAATATTTTCTCCCATTTTGTAGGTTGTCTATTTACTTGGTTGATAGTTTCTTTTTCTGTGTAGAAGCTCTTTAATTTAATCAGTTTCCAATTATCAATATTTATTTTTGTTGTAATTGCTTTTGAAAACTTAGCCTAATATTGAAATCCTGAACAGATTGATAATGAGTTCTGGAATTGCATTAGTAATAAAGAACTTACCAATTAAAAAAAGCCCTGGACCAGATGGACTCAGAGTCAAATTCTACAAAGAATAGTTGGTACCAATCTTACTGAAACTATTACAAAATAGAGGAGGAGAGACTCCTCCCTAACTCATTCTATGAAGCCAACATCATCCTGATTACAAAAGCTGGCCAAAACACAATGAAAAAAGAAAACTACAGGGCAATATCCATGATGAACCAAGATGCAAAAATACTCAACAAAATACTAGCACATCAAATCTAGCAGCACATTAATAGGTTAATTCACCATGATCAAGTAGGATTTACGCCTGGGATGCAAGGTTGGTTCAACATATATAAATCAATAAATGTGATTTATTACATACAGAGAATTAAAAACAAAAGCCATATGATCATATCAATAAATATAAAAAAAGCTTATGGTACAATCCCATATCCATTCATGATAAAAACCCTCAACAAATTATGTATCAAAGGAATATACCTCAAAATAATAAGAACCAACTATAAGAAACCCACAGCCAATATTATACCGAATGCGCAAAAGTAAGAAGCACTGCCCCTGAAAAATGGAACAAGACAAGGATGCCTACTTTCTCCATTCCCATTCAACTTAGTCACTAGAAGTTCCAAACAGAATAATCAAGCAAAAGAAGAAAATAAAAGGCATCTAAATAGGAAATGAAGAAGTCAAACTATCTGTTTTCACTGACGATATGATTCTATACCTAGAAAACTCTAAGGACCTGCCAAAAGCTTCCTAGAACTGATAAATTATGTTAGTAAAGTTTCAGGATACAAAATCAATGTACCAAAATAAGCAGCATTTCTCCACACAAATAATGTTTAAGATAAGAGCAAAATCAAGAGTGTAATTCCATTTACAAAAGCAAAACATAAAAATAAAATACCTAGGAATACATCAAATCAATGAATCAAAAGATCTCTAGAAGAACTACATAACAATTGAAAGAAATCAGAGATGACACAGATGGAAAAATTTTCCATTCTCATTTATTAGAAGAAACAATATCATTAAAATTGCCACATTGCTGAAAGCACTCTATAGGCTCAATGCTATCCCTATTAGATTACCGATATCTTTTTTGACAGAATTAGGGAAAAACTATTCCAAAATTCATATAGAGCCAAAAACGAATCTAAATAGCTGAAGAGATTCTAAGCAAGAGGAACAAAGCTGAGGGAATCACACTACCTGACATTAAACTGTATTACAATTTACAGTAATCAAAACAGTACGATACTGATACAAAAATAGACAAATAGACCAATGAAACAGAGTAGAAAAACCCAGAAATAAAGCTACACACCCACAACTATCTGATATTTGATAAGGTCAATAAAAACAAGCAATAGGGAAAGGGCTACTCCCTATTCAATAACTAGTGGTGGGATAGGGGATTATCCATATGCAGATGAATGAAACTGGACTCCTACATATTCTTGTATACAAAAATTTACTGAAAATGGATTAAAAACTTCAATATAAGATGTCAAACTGTAAAAATCCTAGAAGAAAACCTGGAAAATACCCTTTCCTTTTTTTACGCCCTGCGTAGATTATTGGCTCTCTGTCCTGTTGCTTTCCTTTCAGACCTTGAAGAAATCAGACTCAATCCCTGCTCTAATTTTAGAAGACAAAGGCAGACTGTTGCACGGTTTAGACTGAAGTATCTATGACAATAACCAGCTTTTTAACTTTTTAATATTTATCATCTCTCTCCACATTATTAAAGGGAAAGGTCTCCTTCCCCCTAGAACTGAGGGTGCTGGAAAAAAAGTGTAAAAAGAAGATAAATTTTTCCCTACACCCACTCTTGGCTGAAATAATTTGAGTCATAGCATAGAAATGTGTTGCTTCCTACCTTTTTTTGAATACAAAAGTCAGAAGTCACGAATGTGGTATGATTGTGTTCTCCAAACCAGGCCATGTTTAGCTATAATAGGCATGATTTCTCTGGACACAACGGTTTCAAATAATGATGAATCACGTGGATCACCAATTTTTTTTTCTGCATAAGTGGTCCTCCCTTGTCATGGCTTGGAAACCAATAATTTGCTTCACTCCCACACCATTACTCCTACCCCTGATACCAATGTAAAAGCCCTGATTAAGATTTAAGGTTAAACCACTGCCACCCACCCAGTATAATGGTACAAGTGACCCAAATTTCCGTAAAGCTGGAGAATATGGTCATTGTATTCATTATTTCCCCTTTTGATCTCTCCACTTAATATTGTTTGCTAATGCATTTTCTGTCCAGTAATTAGTTGGGCTCTCTTTTCCAAGGTATTGTTATTCAGTACCCTATAAATCATGTACAGATGGGCATTTTATACTGACAACAGTCCACTATCAGCTATTGTCTTTACTTCCAGCTGCCCACTAACATATATATACTTATTGGCTAAAGCGAAGTTTATTGCAAATATTCTTTCTGTGTCAAACCAGCTAATATTAAGTGTATAATCTTCTCTGTGCTGCTAGGCTGAGTTGTCAGAGCCATGAACCAATAAATATTGTCTCATGTTTTACTGACTATTTGACCAAGTCTTGTATTCTTGATACTAACACCAAAAAAGTGAGGTAGTAAGCAGTTCAGAGTCCTTCTCTAGCATTAATAATCATGGAAGAAGAACTTCTATTACCAAAAATAAAATATCAGTATATCTGTGTGTATATATATGTAATAAATGTATATTTATTTATTTATGTATCTATACTACCTGTCTCTCCCTGCCTCTCACTCTCTAGAGACAGAAAGAACTCTTAAAATTCAGCAATAATAAAACAAGCAGTTCAATTTTTAAAAGAATATCAATACACCAAGAAACTTTTGGAACTAGTTAACAAATTCAGTGAGGTTGTAGGATATAAAATCGGCATACAGAAATCATAGCATTTCTGTACATTATAAACAAACTAACAAAGAAATCAAGAAAATAATTGTAATAGCTACAAATAAATATCATACATAAAACAAATTTAACAAAAGAGGTGAAAGGCCTGAACACTGACTGACATCAGTGTATGAAACATTGACAGAAATAACTGCAAAAGGCAGAAACAGAATTAAAAGACTCTAATTAGCCAAAACAATCTTTAGCAAAAAAACAAAGTTGAGGCATCACACTACCTGATTTCAAAATATAAAGCTACAGTGATGAAAATGGCATGATTCTAGCATAAAAACAGACATACAGGCTAATGGAACAAAAAAGAAAGTCCATCAGTAAAGCTGGGCATTTAAGGTTAATTGATTTTTGGCAAAGATACCAAGAACACACAATGAGGAAAGGACAGTCTCTTCAATAAATGATGTTGGACAAACTAGATATCCACATGCAGCAGAATACAATTAGACCTGTACCTCATACCATCTACAAAAGTCAACTTAAAATGGATTCACGACTTAAAGGTAAGACTTGAAACTATAAAACTACTAGAAGAAAATATATGAGAAACGCATAAGGCAATGAATTTTTATATGACCCCAAAATCATAGGTAGCAAAGGCAAAAATAGACAAATGAGATTACATCAAATTGAAAAGATTCTTTCCAGCAAAGGAAATAATAAACAGAGTGTAGAGACAGCAAATGAAATGGGAGAAAATATTTCCAAACCAAACATTGAATAAAGGTGTTTATTTTATACATTTATTTATTTAGGTATTTTATTTATTCATACCTATTACAAATAAATTATTTTCTCGATTTCTTTGTTGGATGTTTTGTTTATAACATATAGAAGTGCTACTGATTTCTGTATACTGATTTTTTTTCTACAACCTGACCGAATTCATCTGAATAAAACCTGAATACATAAGGAACTACTCAATAGCCAGAAAACAAATTAACTGATTGAAAAATGTGCAAAGTATATAAATAGAAATCTTTCCAAGGAATACATATAACTTGCCAATAGTTTTATTTTTAAAAAAGTGAATACTACCAATCATCAGAGGAATGCAAATTGAAAGCACAATGAGATATAACCTCACACCTGTGAGGATGACTATTATCTAAACGACATGAGAACTGCTGGTAAGAGTGTGGAGAAAAGGAAACCACCATGCACTGTTGGTGGGAATGTAAATTATTATAGCCATTACAGAAAAAACTATGGAGGTTCCGTAACAACTTAGATCTACCATATGATCTAGCAATCCCACTACTCATTATATATCCAAAGGAACTAAAATCAGCATGTGGAAGAGATAGCTGCATTTCAATGCTTATTGCAACATTATTCACAAAAACCAAGACATAGAATTAACCTAAGTGTCCATCAGTGGATGAATAGATAAAGAAAATATGGTGTACATACATAGTGAAATACTATTCAACCTTTAAAGGAATCCTGTCATTTGTGATAAAATGGGCAAAGAAAGAAAAATACTGCAAGATCTCACTTATACGTGGAATGTAAAATGTTGAACTTGTAAAAAGAGTAGAATGCTGGTTTCCATGGATGTGGGGAGGAGAGCTTGGGGAGCTATTAGTCAAAATAAATTTCTGTGAGTAGAAATCATGTTCTCATCACAAATAAATGATAAGTATATAAGGTAATGTATATATTAATTAGCTTGATTTAGCCACCCCACAATATATACATATTTCAAAATATCATGCTGTGTACCATAATATAAATAATGTTGATTTGTCAATTAAAAATATATAAATAAAATTAAATTTTATTTTGTCAATTAAATTTTAATTTGCCAATTAAAAATAGTAAAATAATGGGACCAAGGTCTGAAGAGACATCTCACCAAAGAAGATATAGATAAAGCAATAAACATACAAAAAATGTTCAATATCATACGTCATCAGGGAATTGCAAATTAAAACAACAATTATATACCACTACTCACCTACTGTAATGGCCAAAATATAAAAAACACTAAATGCTCACAAGAGTGTAGAGCAACAAGCCTTCTCATTCATTGCTGGTGGTAATGAAATATGGTATGGCCACATGGAAGACAATTTGGCAGCTTCTTACAAAACTAAAGGAACTCTTACCACACAATTATGCTCCTCAGTATTTATGCAAATAAATTAGAAATTTACCTTCACCATCCACACAGAAAGTTTACAGAGATGTTCATAACAGCTTTATTCAAAGTTGCTAAAGCTTGGAAGCAATTAAGATGTCCTTCAGATGTAAAACTGGTACATTCGGATAATGGAATCGTATTCGGCACTAAAAAGAAATCGTCTATCAAGCCATGAAGAACCATGGAAGAAACTGAAATGTCTTTTATTAAGTGGAAGAAGCCAATCTGAAGGAGATACATACTGTATGATTCCCAACTAGATGACATTCTGAAAAAGGCAAAACTATGGAGACACCGAATCATCAGTCATTGCCAGTGCTTAGGGAGAGATAAATTGGCAGAGTATGGAGGATATTTTCAGGAAATTAAACTATTCTGTATTGTTATACAACAGTAAATCTTGCCAATATAGTTGTCAAAAGTCATAGAATGTGCAATACCAACAGTAAACCTTAAGGTAAACTATGGACTTTAGGTGATAATGATATATCAATGTAGGCTCATTGATTGTGAAAATGTACCACTCTGATGCGGGACATGGATAGTGGAGAGGTTGTGTGTAAGTCAGGACAGGAGTGAGTACATGAGAACTCTACTTTCTCTTCAATGTTGCCTACAACTGCTCTACAACATAAATTTTATAGATTTAAAAAATGAATGAACTGCTTATATATGCACCGATATTGATGAATCTCAAATAATTATGGTTAGTGGAAGAATCCAGGCATAAAAAAGTACATACAAATTATTTCATTTGTGTAAACTCTAGAGAAGAAAGTAATCTGTAGGGACAGGAAGTGTGTATCTCCTGAAGATAGGGAGGAAGGAAGAGGTGAGAAGGAGAAATCATACATGGCCTTACAGAAACGTTTGGGGGTGATGGCTAAGTTCACTATCTTAATTGTGGTGATAATTCCACGTATGCATGAAAATGTCAAAACTCAATGCTTAATTATGTGTCTTTTATTTTCTGTCAATTACATATCAACAAAACTGTAAGAATGTGCTAATGCACACTGTGGAGTGTCAACAGCAATTAAACGTAACATGGCTGGATCCTGAAAACATAGTGCTAAATACATAGTCTAAGAAACAATATGAAAAAGAAGAAGGAATTAAAATACAATGCAATAGTGACAGCTGAGTTAGTAAGGGATACAAATTGTGTTTTTCTAATGTATGTACATTCCAGGAAAGAAGTACAAATTAATTATTAAGTACTGAAGTCTGCATATTATAGTTTCTAGGGAACAATGAAGTAATAAAAATAGAATGCAAAACTTAAAAACAAAATGTGGGAGGGTAATGAAATGAACTTCTAAAAAATTATACAAAACAAGTCACATTTTAGTTGGTGTTTCTGTTAAGCAGATCACAAGGTGAAGATTTGGGTGAATGTAGTTCGCTAGCGACCTGGGGAAACTGCAGGAAAAAGTGCAAGTTGGGGGTTGCTATTGAAACAACCATTTCCCTGCTCTTCTCACCTTCCCTGCACAAGGAAAAGCAAGCACCTTCGGGTGCAATAAATCTCCTGAGACAAAAATACAAAAGAAGATTTCAAACAATTTTATGATTACACTTAGAAAATATGAGCGTAAATTATTGTAAAATAATATTTATTTCTAAGTTTGGACTAAGACATTTAATATTTTAGAAATATTGATTTCAAAGTTATTTAAATTAGAAAAATAATTCCTATTATTCAATAAATTAGCAGATTTTAAAAAGCAAATAACATTGATAACATCTGAAAAGGGTTAGGTAAACAGCATGTTTAAGATAAATATCCATAAACAAATTGAAAGGTAAAATCATCTGCTGGATAGTATCTATGGAAAACTTAAAGAAAACATCATACTTGCTATGTGCAGGGGTGCACCGTCGACTTCCCCACTTTTGAGGTTTGGGGACTCAGACTGGCTTCCTTGCTCCTCAGCTTGCAGATGGTCTATTGTGGGACTTCACCTTGTGATCATGTGAGTCAATACTCCTTAATGAACTCATATATATATATATATATATATATATATATATATATTCTTATCTAATATGTATATATCTTATTAGTTCTGTTCCTTTAGAGAGCCATGACTAATACAAATAGTAACATGGAAACACTTACTTTCCTAACTGGATAAATTATCTATTTTTAAGCAATAATAACTAAAATAGCATGGATTTGGTTCAGAGAAAAACAAAAATAACAAAATAGATTAAAATATAAGATACAAACCAACGCATATATGTGCACAATATATGATAATGGTGACACTGCAACCCAGTGAGGGAATTACATTTGTAAATAAATAATAATGATAAAAATTTGTTCTCCTTATAAAATAACATGAAATTCGACTATTGCTTTACATCATAAACAGCAGCATAAAAGATACGGTTTGCCTGCTTCCCCACCCAAATCTCACCTTGAATTGTAGCTCCCACAGTTCAGTTCCCACATATCGTGGGAGGGATCCAGTGGGAGATAATCGAATCATGGGGGTGGGTCATTCCATGCTATTCTTGTGATAGTGAATAAGTTTCACGAGATCTGATGGTTTTATAAATGGGAGATTGCCTGCACAAGTTCTCTTGCCTGCGCCAGGTAAGACATGATTTTGCTCCTCATTCACATTCCACCATGATTAGGAGGCCTTCCCAGCTGGGCGGAACTGTGAGTCAATTAAACCTCTTTCCAGCCGGGCGCAGTGGCTCACGCCTGTAATCCCAGCACTTTGGGAGGCTGAGGCGGGTGGATCACGAGGTCAGGAGTCGAGACCATCCTGGCTAACACGGTGAAACCCCATCTCTACTAAAAATACAAAAAATTAGCCAGGCGTGGTGGCGGGCGCCTGTAGTCCCAGCTACTCGGGAGGCTGAGGCAGGAGAATGGCGGGAACCCGGGAGGCGGAGCTCGCAGTGAGCCGAGATCACACCACTGCACTCCAGCCTGGCGACAGAGCGAGACTCCGTCTCAAAACAAACAAACAAACAAAAACAAAAAACCTCTTTCCTTTATAAATTACCCAGTCATGGGTATGGCTTTATTAGCAGCGTGAGAACAGACTAATGCAATAAACAGAGACATAAAGACAAATATCCTTCACAGCATTCTTTAATATTTGGCCTATATATATATATTTTTTTTTATGTTCAAGTCTTACAATTCATTAATAAAAATGAACTATGCAATCCGTGAAGAGTTATTGAATAACTCAGTACCTCACCTTCCATGGACACTTCATCCTAATCCATCATATCTGAAAATCTTAATAGTTCTGCTACCATTTAATGCTAAGAATTATCACCAATTCACTTCCCACCAGCAAAGGAATCCTAACTACTATTTCTTAATGAGCAGTCTAGCCCCAGAATTCCATCCGGAGGGTGACCTCTCTATGGTTACTTTTTATGGTTACTCTTAAAGAAAACACACTCTGTGTGTGTTGTTACTTTATTTTGAGAACTGATCCCTAGAAGCTGAATTAAGAAACTGAGCAGCATAATGCAAGAAATGAGAGAAGACAATTAAAAGATGTTTTATCAAATTGGCCATTGCTATGGACAACTGGGACTCTTCTTCATTGAGGACACCCTGAGGAGTTATTCAGAATGTGCCACAGAAATGTTCATTCAAGTAGCATTGGCAGATAAAATATAGAATATACTTTTAAATTAGACCTTCAGATAAGCAACAGCAATTTTAATGTAAGTAGATCACAACATTGCATGGAATAATGGTTATAGCAAAATTTCATTTTTATCTAAAGTTCTAATTGAACTGGGTGTTTGGTATTTGTATTTGCTAAATCTGTCAACCTTGTTTGCAAGAAACACAAAAGAATAATATTTATCCACTAGCTTTTTCTCTCACTTGGCCAATGGCCACCCCCTAATGATGTCAATTCCCTTGAGTTTTGAGGCTTATGAATGACTTAGAATGTGTGAGTAGGTTTTCACAGGTGTCTCAAATAGACAAATCTTAGAGCCGAAAGCAAGAGGCATAAAACATAGCTGGGGCCAGGTGCAGTCAAGTTGCACCTGCACACAACTAGCACAATGGCCCTGGTAGTAAAAACTGGGGCCAAAAACATGTGAGCCAGGGCATGAGGCTCTATGACAACCAAGAATTTAAAATTCAAATTCTTTATTACAAAGAGCATAGTTATGTGGGTCAAATTTCCAGTAACAAGCTTTTTCTTTTCGTGACCCAGCCAGGTGGCATACTTCTATATTTCCCAAGGCTCGATCATGCCGTTTTTCTATATCCACAACCTTTCCCAGTTTCCAGTTTTATGCAAGGACCTCTCTTTCCACTCTCTGAGCATATGCAAATGCCTTCTGAACTTCCATTTACCTGTAAACATTGAGATCATAGTTAAATTATTATCAGCTTCTGTGTGCCTTTGATGTCAATTCTCCCCCACTGCTCTGACTTGGAGTTAACATTTTGTTTCTTTCAGCTGGAACTTTAATTTATTTTTATGGATATTGGTAAAATGTGTTTTTTTAAATATCTGCAGTGTTTTCCTGGTGCAGTAGTAGCGTATTTTCCCCCTACCGGTTCTGTGTGGTTGAAATGGAAGGGTGGCTTTTTCATTTAATTCAGTCTTTCATACTAACAAAAACACTCTTATTTGTTCTTCATTTATCTTTGTTGTGATCCCAGGCTCCAGGGGTCAGGCTTTGAGTTGTCAGGTGGTAATTTGTTGGAGCAATTTTAGAGAACACGCATGAATTGATACTGTTGTGTCTGGTGTCTGGTGGCCCAGCTTGATGGATCCTGAAGCACAAGCTCATTTCCTGATAACTCCATCATTCCTATTTTCTCTCAACATTATAGAAGGGTACCTAATGACAGAATATATCCCTCTTGCGTTTTGTGGCTAAAGCTATTTGGGTGTAATTGCCAAAGGTATTCACTCTACCTGAAAGGGTGAGAGCCAAGAAAAAGAAGTGCCTAGCTGTGAGGAAGTTCAGAACATGATAAAATATACCTCTTAGTACATAGAGAGAGCATCACATGGAGCCCTGGACATTTCTGTTTGTTGATGCTCCTATTCTGCCACATGTGCTAATCCTCTACCCTTACGGGATCATCGTCCATCCTGCTTCAGCCAGTTTGGGTAAGTACCTGTAAAAAATTACATCCTTTAGAGTGACTGCCCAAAGACAGTGAGATTTATCTTGCTAAATCTAGTAGTCTTTCATGATAGAATGTTGATGACTATTTTGCTAAAATTCACCTCGGTGCCAGAGGAGGTCAAGAATGAACAAATTATCTGACAGGGATATGTATTCCAAACTACCTCTGTGTGTGTGTGTGTGTGTGTGTGTGTGTGTGTGTGTGTGTAAACTATACATATACATATGCAGTTAATGAATATATAAATGATACAGAAATAAATTTTTGAAATATATTCTCTTTATCACTTGAGACTAGCCACTTCTTTATTATTCGAAGTAATATTGTATCTGTATGAACTGTATCAATTCAGAAATAATATTAAAAATTCTTCTTAAAGTGTATTCTTTCCATCAAAGCCTATTTTATCCAAATTGTTGTTCAATTATAGAAATTCTAGGTGATTGTCATTATATGTAATATAATTTTAATGTAGGAAAGAATTCTAAGCATATAATATCTAAAAAGAAAAAAAAAGGTCTTCTCTCCTCCAACACTTGACCCAGTCCTGTAGCAGGAACTTGATTGATGCTAGTGGCTGTAATATTACTTTAAATAAAAGTTGAAAAGAGTGAAGGGTTATTTACATAATCTTTATTGTGTCATCGTGGTTGTTCACTGTTAGGTTTTAGAGAATCCAGGCATGAAAACCCTTATGGAAAAATAGATTTGGAATATGGCAAGAGTTGCCATCTGTATAAATGTATCATGCATGAATATGAGGAATATATCTACATTGTTTCTGTTTAGTCTCATACACACACACACACACACATGCACACACACGCACTCACTTTAGAGAAGGCAAATGAGTAATAAACCAGTTAGATGGCTATTTCTATATCTCATCCTACAGAAAGTATAATGAAAGCAGAAGTAGGAATGAATTTAGATGTATGGGGTTTGAAGCTGGAAATGAAATAATTGGTAACAGGTTGGATATCATTTTGAGGGACAAACAGGAGTTGAAAGTAAATTCTGCAGTTTTAGTTTGGAGAAGAAGCAGTCTAGTGATGCTTTTGTCTAAGATTACATATCATAGGGAAGATGTTAGGGAAATTAACTAGTTTTGTTAGGCTATGACTCAGAAAGCCATATAACAATGAAATGACTCAGAAAGAAAACCATGTACTAAGCAAGTCCTAAAATATAGGCCACTAAAGGAAAATCTCCTCCTCATTGGGTCATTAATCTGAAACTACATATCATATTTAAAATATACATAGAAGAAACATAATTATTTTATTTTCAATGAATAGATCATAAGCAAGTAAATTTTTTTAGAAAAGGGAAGTACAGCTTAGCATACAAAATTAAAATTAGTAACAATTGACAGCTAATAGTAAGTTTCACTGGTTGAACAATAATAATACATGATAATATAAAACCGCACTGATCTAAATGCTTATAGTTGTTAATTCATTTAATTTTCACAACTCTTTGATGTATATAACCATATTCCCATTTTACAAATAAAGAAACTGAGGTAGAAATGCTAAATAACTTTCAAAGTCTTATAGCCAAAACTTAATGTTTAATGCCTCCTCAAACACACAATAAAATTAAACAATAACTTTAAAATATCTGTATTACCACCTGCAATAATTTTGGAAAGTACTGCATTTCTATAAAATATAGGCATTAATATAAATAATAAATTCCAATGTTAAAATTTTATGTTAGAATACTGTTTAACAAGTGAAAAATAAAATGTTGACAATTACATAATAGATGAATAGACTAAAAAATGTTGTAAAGAAGCAGTACCAATTCCAAATGACTTAGCACTTAAGGCTATTTGCTGTTAGTAACGAATAGCTCTATACACATTTATGGTCACAGAAAACATCACTGTCATTGCGAAATATAAAGCTAAAGTTTATAAAGTCTATTCAGAGTTTTAAAAAGATAGTCTAAATTATATCCACAATATTCTATTTGAGGAAATAGAAACAATGTTTATATATTTAAAACATATTTAATAAAAATTTCTGCCTTAACTTCTTGTGGAGGTGTTTGTATTAGTCTTCTAGAGCTGCTGTAACAAACTATCACAATTTCATTGGCTCATGACAGAAATTTATTCTCTTACAATTCCAGAAGTTCCAGGTCCAAAACTTATATTGTCAGCAAAGCTGCAGTCCCTCCGAATGCTTTAGGAAGGAATTATTCCTTGTACCTTCCAGTTTCCAGTGGCTCCAAATTTTTCTTATACCTGCACCACTTCAGTATCTTCCATCTTCACCTGTGTGATGGAAAGATCTTCACCATCTTTCATCTCCCCTGTGTCTATGTTTTATCTTCTGTCTCTAGAAAAAATACTTGTCAATGGATTTGGAGACCAACCAGGATAATGCATGATAACCTCATCTCAAGACCTTTAACGTAATTACATTTTCAAAGACACTTTATCCAAATAAGTTCACATTGAATAGTTTCCATAGTTTGCCTCAACATATATATATATATATTTTTTTTTTTTGGAGAGGGGCATCATTTGGCCAACTGCAATATTTAAAGGGATAGGTTAAACAAAACTATTTTGGTTTCAAAGAGAAGACACACACTAAATCAAGTAGGAGGATAATATTATAATGACATGCCAGTCTGTGAGAGTACTTACTTTTGTGAATATTTATAAAATAGGATATATAATGGGGTAGACCAAAGAAAACGTGGAACAAGACGGTGGTTCTAGAGTCACACTGGCTCAAGCAACTCTAGATGGAGAGATTTACTGATTGTTGCTCTAGTCCTTAATTAATAATATGATAGTCATTACAATGTACATGTCTGCTTCATTTACACACCATGAATTGACTTGCTCTGCTGGATCACAGACCCTGCTTTCCCACTATTAGGGTCATTCCGTATCACTGTCTAACCAATTATGTCTCTATGTATTTTATTTTCTCTTTATGCTTCTAACTGGGCAATTCTTCCTTAGATTTTGAATTTGAGTCTCTGGATAAGCAAATCTGATTGATTCACCATATCTTTACTTGTTAAGTAGCAAGGAGATGGCTAGCTCTTGGATCAGTTTTTCTCCTCTACTCCAGTTGGCTGTGGCTGGAAGTGAAGAGGTGGCAGCTGATGACTTTAAGATATATCTTTCTATTGTAAAACAAGAATTGTGGATCAGATATTGAAATCTAGTCCAGGCAAATAACTTGTTTTGACATCTGTAGCACAAAGGGTAATAATCAGTTCTTTAGAACATTATATGGAGCCACAAAGTTCCTCATGATATTACAAACATCACATATGTTACATATTAACATTAATATATTACAGATATTACAATATTAACATTTTATATCACAAATATAAAATTATTATATATGATTCAATAATTACAAATACAAAAGATTAATTCACTTGAGTAGAATGGAATATTGATTTTTCCAACATAATGGTAACTTCTGTTGTTTCAAAATTTAAGAAGAAAATATGCAATTTTTAACACATGACTCCACATTTCAAATTGTTCACTAGAAGACCAAGTGTCTGTATTATAGACCATTAGGAAATTATTCAATAGAGTATTTTTTTAGAGATGAGCACACATTTATTGGCAAAATTGGAATAATAATAACACTAATTTGATCTCAAGTCTATCCTTTAAATTTTAAGTAATGTATAAATACATAGTAGAGCTTACCTTGAGTTTTAAAAGTATCATGGAAAGCATTTTAATCTTTTCAGGTAATTTTATTGCTAAAGCTTTAGTGAAAATTTTATTGTTGCTTTGGGTGCATAATAAAAATTAACAAACAGTTTAGTAAAGAGAATATTGATGGATATATAGTAAAATCAATTATTTAAAATATTTAATTACAAAAATGCATAAAATTATTTGGGGAAAATAGTTAAAATGTCACATATTATTTCCTTGTCATAGAATTTAGGATCATAGAGACTTTATTTTTATATTGTGGTACTTCCATATTTTTAATATTTTAAAAAATTTTATTTTAGCTATCTTATTAATACACTCCACATCATATACCTGGGACATAGTATGTGCTTGATAAATTTTTATTCAATTAATATCAGTCTTCCTTTAACCCTCACTTTCCCTGTCTTATGAAAATCTGTGTTTCATCCCTATTTCCTCAATTTTTTTAACCAATATTGTTCTCATCTAGCTCTTTTTCTTGTGTTTTAAATGTCAGATATTCCAAATAATTGGAATTAATAGAATTCTACATATGGTTTAATCAAAATAGGATGACACAGAATTTGCTATATGGATTGATTGTCTCTGTCTACTCCAGACTCTTACTATTGTTTTCTCCCATCTCTACAATAATTGTGAGTATTATAAAAATAATAGTTCTATGGCTTCCAGTTTTACCATTTGTTCTTTTAAATATCCCATCTTTTCAGACACTGTATGCATAACAAAATATTTTATTTGAGACCGACAAGTCCCTACATTTCTGAGAATGTGAATCATAACATCAGCAAATATTGGATAACATCAAATAATTGTGTACCCATCAGAAAATTATGGAATTCTTCCAAACCACGGCTAAATATGTGGTGCTAACTTTAAAAATGTTGATTTAACAAAATGGAAATAACCATCAAGGAGAATAAAAAAGAAAAAAAATATTTGGAAGGGAATTTCTAGCACTCATTAATAAAAAAAAAAAAAGTTGACTCCAGTGGAACAAACAATCAGGTTCCTAGAAATATAATAAGGTACAGGGATGCTTTGTTAGATTTTACTACTTCGTGGATTAAATATATTTTATGACTTCCCACCTCCATTCTCCCTTATTTAACTGTCAAGTAGCTTTTCATTTAATCATTCTTCCTTACAAAAAAGTTAATTAAACACAAATAGAAACACATGTGGTAAGAGCCTACTATGAGCCAGATGCTGTTCAAAGCACTGGTAATACAACTTTGACTTTATGCAGTTTGCATTTTAGCATGAGGACATAGGAAATAAACAATAGATAGGACAAATAAGTGAGTTATATGTTATGTTAGAAAATAGTTGGTACAGGCCGGGCGCGGTGGCTCATGCCTTTAATCCCAGCACTTTGGGAGGCCGAGGCACGAGGATCATGAGGTCAGGAGTTCGAGACCAGCCTGGTCAACATAGTGAAAACCCATCTTTACTAAAAATACAAAAAATTAGCCAGGCATAGTGGCGGGCACCTGTAATCCCAGCTACTAGAGAGGCTGAGGCAGGAGAATCGCTTGAACCCGGGAGGCGGAGGTTGCAGTGAGCCGAGATCACACCATTGCACTCCAGCCCGGGCAACAGTGCAAGACTCCATCTCAAAAAAAATTAAATAAATAAAGAAAGAAAGAAAAGAAAAGAAGTGGTACAGAAAAATTTGAGAAGAATAAGGAAATGTCTGGAGTGGAGGGTGAAGGTTTGCAATTTAAAATAGTCTAGGCAGGATGGTTTCATTCAGAAGGTCCATTTGAAGTAAGATCTTGAATGAGGTGAGATAAGAAGTAGAAAAGATGGGTAAACAAAGCTGAGGATCAGGAGAGTGCCTGGTGTGTTCTATGAGCATCAGAGAAGCTAATGCCCTAGGAGAGGAGGGAGTCAGTGGGAGTAGGGAGATTCAGAGCAGGTAAGATTAGGAGGTGAAAGAGAGGCAGATTGTGCAGAGTCTCAGATGCCATCAGGAGGACACTGGCTTTTACTCTGAGAGGAATGGAAAGCCTCAGGAACTTTGAGTAGACAGGTGACATATACTGTGTTAGGCTTTAATATAGAGAAAACAGGTGACCTATGGAACAGCTCTCTGGACTCTTTCACTAGTTTTATATGATTGATTAAATTTAGGTTTATACTTCTAGATCACCAAAATCTCTGACCACATTGTGAAGACCAAGTTTAAGGACCTGAGATTTTGAGAGTCAGATCGTGGACTGACTCAACTTTCAGAATGCTCAAGTGCATTCCTTCTCAAAGTGTAAGAAGTGGGGCTTTGACCTTGACATTAACATGGAGCTTATTAGAAATGTAGAATTTCAGGCCTCACTCCAGGCTTTCTGAGTCAAATTCTTCTTGTTCCCAAGATCCTCAGCTGATTCTTTTGTGCATTGTGTTTGAGGAGTCCTGCTCTGAGTTTCTGCTACTCTTTGAAATCTTTTGGCAGGCATACTTTTTGGTTTTTTTTATATACCAAGACAATTTACCTGATAACAAAAATCTCTAAAGCATGGAACTGGTTCATTGAGATATCTTAACTGTGTAGCACATACATTCAGCCTTCTAGAGTACATTTTTTAAAACCCCCTCATTATGCTTGAGGCAGGTGGTAGCAACAGAATAAAACTAAATGTGCTATCACTCAGCAACTACTGAGCTAGGAAAAAAGATGCCTAGCTTGCCCTGTGTAGCCAATAAAAACTCAGACTTTCCATTTCAATGTTAATTTCAGCTGAATAACTGTATTTTATTATAATGTCATCTCAAATATTGCAGAGGACATGTTTGTAATATAAAAATTTAGTTATTTAGGCCGGGCCCGGTGGCTCACTCCTGTAATCTCAGCACTCTGGGAAGCCGAGGCAGGGGGATCACCTGAGGTCAGGAGTTGGAGATCAGCCTGACCAACATGGTGAAACCCATCTCTACTGAAAATACAAAAATTAGCCAGGCATGGTGGTGCATACCTGTAGTCCCATCTACTAGGGAGGCTTAGGCACGAGAATTGCTTGAACCCGGGAGGCGGAGGTTGCAGTGAGCCGAGATTGCGCCACTGCACTCCAACCTGGGCGACAGAGGGCGACTCTGTTTCAAAAAAACAAAAATTAGTTATTTATCTGAAATTGATATTTAACTCGACTTTTTTCTATTTTTTCTGACAACCATACTATCGTCATTTCTCTAAGCCTTTCTAATTTCTGCAAATGACATTCTGGGACCCTCTTTTACTTGGTTCTGCATTAAAAAATTTACACAAAGGAAAAAATATTATACTTTGTATAATATCAACATCTCCAATAACCAACCACACTTTACTTTTTTTCTCTTTTCCTAGGAAGAGGCTTATGGGTTCACTTAATAATAGCACTGTTTCTATTACGTCTCAATAAGCCATGTGAGAGAGTGGCTGATGCCAACTGCTGGTAGCTTCTTTGGAATGAGAGCCTTTTAAGACATTTGTCCTCAGCATTGGACTTTAATTGCAATTACTGGACAACATACACACAAGTTCAGCTGGACATCTTATTATATATACAATATCTCTCCATCCTGAAGCAGTCATTATATTAGAAAATATTTGTGTTCTCTAATTCAGACAGACAATAACTTATTTATTCTGGCAAAAAACTTCCCCAAACTCAGAATCAATGCTATTTCTACTCTATAAGAAAGTAAGTAAATACTATTTTCTTTCCTTTGATTTTCAGTGTCTCCAACTCTTAAAACTTTCTCCTTAACTTTTCACATAACTGCCATTATTCTGCACGGCTTTGGCCATACCAGAACTCTCATCCAGCCAAACTCAACCTGAATGTAAATGTCTGTAAAGTATTTCCTTTCTGACTTCTCTAGCAACAGCTTCTGCCACTCTAATCTAACACACCCAGCAGCATTACGAACCAACTCTCGAAAGTATGATTTTGATAATATCACTCGTTTTCTTAGACCCTGAAGTAGAACAGGCAGACTTTAAGGCAAAGAAGCATAAAGTTGAACTATAATAAGCTCTGTAAATTGTGTCTGCTATACTAAAATGCCTCATTGGCATGCAATTTGTACGAATCTTTTGATCAATTATTGGTCACTGAGAACCATTAGTCAGTCATAAGATTCTTCCAGTGAGAATACATAATCAGCTTCATAAAGCACTGCTAGTACCTATTAGAAGTGCCTTCCCAGGAAAAGAGTGAGTTAATCCTTCCAAATTGTTTTTAAGCAAATACTTATAAGATACATTGCAATGCAAAAATTTGTTTTTCAGTCACTCTTGAAAAACAGGAGTAAAAGATGATTCTGTCTCTGACAATAAAATAGTTTTTCATGTGTCTAAAAGAAAACTTACCATCAGGAAATATTTTAGTTCTCTTGTTTTCACTCTTGGTGAGAGGAAATAAGAGACTATTAACAAATTTTAAATTGATATATAACATATGCCCAAGATATTTGATGGAGATTCATCTCTAATAACATTGCCTAAGTAAGAAAAATATTTTTAATATGACTGTTGATTGTTACAATTACCTATTGTACCACCTCAGTCATAAATAAAACATGCAGAAATAGTTCACCCACTCAAAACCATGGTGGATTGAGGTGTTCTATATGAGTGGTTTTCCACGCAAAAGATGTTGACTAACTGAAGTGCCATTTTTAAGTGTTAGGTGTATCACGTAGGGCGGTTGTTCTAAATGTATTAGACAGACTTTTGCTTAATTACATTTAATGTACTAGGAATAGTTTTGTCATTTTTATTTTTATAATTTGAGCTTATAATTACACACCTCAGTTATTCTAACTTATGGAAATATATGAATCACTCTGTGGAGCTACATAATGATGTGTAAGACTATGAGTTTCTTTACTAAAAGTTGGCAGACTGGCATGTATTTTATTTTTTCCCAGTCTTCTCTATTTCTTTTAGTTTTTACTCATTTTGTTAGTGTGTCTCCCAGTGGCATCACAATATTATTACATGTAAAATCAATGACCCTAATTTTGGCCTGGGTTGATGGCCGATGAGTCCATATAATAATTGAATTCATAGTACTCTTCAGATGGCTTTTTTTCCAAGAGATGATTGCTTGGATTAGTCAGGAGAGTCTACTTAGAATAGGTGCTTCCTTAAAATTGCATAAAGAACTTCTAGTTTCAGCTTCAAAATGTAAAGTCAGAAAATAGAGTCATCCCTTCTATCCTATCAAACAAGAAAAGTAAAAAAACTGAAAATCAACTGTAGTTCTTGGCCCATCAGACTGCCAAACTGCTACCCCAAAATCTGGAGTGACAGGTTTTCCTATGAAAGAGCCATATATGCAAAGCAACTCCCAAATGCCAAGAAGCTAGAAACCAAATAAGAGAGTAGACAAATCCAGTTTGTGGGGTTGGGTGATTTAATGAGGGAACTTCCAGACAGAAACGTGGTCTTGAGTGGCTGCAAGACATGTAGATCTCTGCATTGTTACTCCACAGAATCGAGGCTTATATGCCATAAATAAAGGGTATACGTGCTCTAGCAAGACAACTAAAGGCAACCCTTCAGTATAGGCAAGAACACTATAAATATCATAGCCTATAATTTGTGCAATAACATCAAGGTTGTTTTGTTCTTACACTAGGGGCAGTAAATAAAGCAGAAACCAAGAGGCATTCATAGGACTGGGGCTAGTCAAACCTCAACATGGCAGAATGGCCACCAAGATGGAGTCACTGTTGTCTCCACACAGGAGGACAGGGAGATTGACAACTGAGATCTGCTTACCAAAAACAACTTATGTGGTTTGAAGACTTAAATGGCAATTTTTAAAAGTTACTGGAGGCGAGTGTGGACATTTTTTGAGAATGAAAAAAAACCCTGAGGGCCTCAAACTTTGAACTTTGTGGATCTTATCTTAGTGAGTCTCATTAGGTTGTCAAGGTGAAGGGCCAAGAAAAAATACCATTATGTCTCTGGCAGCAGTAGGGGAACCATTTAAAAATATACTCAGAGCATTTTCCATAACAAAGTCCTTCTCTGAAGGGAAAAAGACTGTACCAAAACCTCATTAATCTGGGAAAAAATGGAGTCTATAAGAACAGAGACAGCAGGAATAGCACGTAAGCCCTATAGTATAGAGGATCAGTTGTTTTCCACAGGGACAATGGTTGACAATTCTGTTACTGATATACAGTTATACCAGAATAGCAGACTTAAGTAAATAAATGAGTGGCAGGTTGTGGGAGCTACGGTTCTCAATATTGGAGTGGAAATTCACACATAAGCAAAAGGAGTAGGCTGCAATGATCCATATAGTCATGGATTATTGTTGGAGACATTGACAAGAATTCATATGTAGCTTAATATAGATACAGATGTTTACATACAGAAATATTTATAGATATGCAAACATACACAGGCTAGTATGGACACATTTAATTTTTTTACCGTCTCAGCTGAAAGGGCCTAAAAGAAATAAATATCCAATGGCGATGACTACACCGACAACCTAAATCTTGTTTTATAATTCCACTCTCAAATGAAAGGAACCAGGGTCTTTAGAGAAATGGCTGATTCTAAGACTTATGCAGGAAATATACAACATGCGCCTGGAGCATCTCGTAGTGCCTAAAACATAAGGAATCCTCCCCGCCAAAGAAACATCATCACACAATAACATGAGAATGTCAAAGAGGCATAGGATGCGACTAAAGGAGCTTCAGGTAGAAAAAAAAAAAAGGAACAATTTGAACAGTAAAATAGAGAAGTGATGGATTATAACCTATAGGAAAACATAAATATCTAGGGGGTCTTAATGATATAAATAAAAGGTTACATAAATTAATTAATTAATGAGAGAGGAGAGACAAATTTTCCATGCTTAAGAATTCCAAATAATTTACCAGTATATCTGATTTTATTTTGCCTTATTTTATTGCATTTTGCAGATGTTACAGTTTTCACAAATTAAAGGTTTGTGTCAACTCCATGTTGAGCAACTGCCATTATTCCAAAAGCATGTGCTCACTTTGCATTTCTGGTAATTCTCATAATATTTCAAACATTATTATTATTCTCACAATATTTCAACATTATTATTATTATTATATCTGTTATGCTGATCTTTGATCAGCTAGTAACTTTTGATGTTATTAGTGTACCTGTTTTGGGGACCCAGGAACTTTGCCCATATAAGACAATAAACCTAATCAATAAATGTTGTGTATATTCTGACTGCACCACTGACCAGCTGTTTCCTCATGTCACTCCCTCTGCTCAGGACTCCTCATTTCCTGAGACACAACAATACAGAAATTAGGCTGATTAACAAGTTTATAATGGTCTCTAAGTGTTCAAGTAAAGGAAGAATAGTAGGTCTCTCACTTTAAATCAAAAGCTGGAAATGATTAAGCTTGGGAGAAAGACATGTAGAAAGCTAAGTCAGGCCAAAAGCCAGGCCATTTTGCAATGGTTAATCCACTTGTAAATGCAAAAGAAAAGTTCTTGAAGAAATTAAAAATGTTACTCCAGTGAACACACAGATGACAAGAGAACAAATCAGCCTTATTGCTAATATGGAAAAAGTTTTAGTAATCTTGATAGAAGGTCAAACTAACCATAACATTCATTTAAGCCAAAGTCTAATCCAGGGCAAAGCCATAACTCTTAAATTCTGTAGATGTTGAGAGAGATGAGAAAACTGCAGAAGAAAAGTTGGAAGTTAGCAGAGGTCGGCTCATGAGATTTAAGGAAAGAAGCTATTTCCATGAGGTCGAAGTGGAAGATTGAGCAGAATGTGCCAATGTAGAAGCCATAACAAGCTGTACAGAAGATCTAGGTAAGGTCATTGATGAAAATGTCTACCCTAAATAGCAGATTTTCAATGTAGACAAAACAGACTTCTATTGGAAGATGACCGTTAGGACTTTCATAGCTAGAGAGGAGAGATCTATGCCTGGTTTCAAAGCTTCAAAAGACAGGCTGACTCACTTATTAAGGACTAATGCAATTGGTGACTTTAAGTTGAATCCAAGACTCACTTACCAAATCTTAAGGTCCTTAAGAATAATACTAAATCTACCCTGCATGTGCTGTAGAAATGGAGCAACCAAACCTGGATAACAGCACAACTGTTTACAGCATTATTGACTGAATATTTTAGGCCCACTATTGAGACCCACTGCTCAGAGGAAAAAGTGTTCTTTCAAAATGTTACTGTTCCTTGACAATGAAACTTGTCACCCAAGAGCTCTGATGGAAATGTATAGGAGAATAGTGTTTTTATGACTTCTAATGCAACATCTATTCTTGAGCACATGAATCAAGAGGTAGTTTTGATTTTTAAGTTTTTTTTAATTTAAAAAATATATTTTGTAAAGCTTAGCTGCCATAGGTTGTTATTTCTGGGCAAAGTAAACAGAAAACTTGGGCCAGGCACAGTGTCTCACACCTGCAATCCCAGCACTTTGGGAGGCCTAGGCAGGTGGATCACCTGAGGTAGGGAGTTTCAGATCAGCTTGGCCAGCATGGTGAAACCCTATCTCTACTAAAAATACAAAAAAAAAAAAAAAAAAAAAATTAGTTAGGCATGGTGGCAGGTGCCTGTAATCCCAGCTACTCGGGAAGCTGAGGCAGGAGAATCGCTTGAACCCAGGAGGCAGAAGTTGCAGTGAGCCAAGATTGCACCATTGCACTCCAGCTTGGGCAGCATAGTGAGACTCCATCAAAAAAAAAAAAAAAAAAAAAACACCTTCTGGAAAGTATTCAGTATTCTAGACGTCATTAGGGACATTCATAATTTATAAAAGGAGGTCAAAATGTTAACATTAACAGGAATTTAGAATGAATTAATTCCAACCCTCATGGATGACTTTGAGGAGTTCAAGATATCAGTAAAAGAAGTAACTGAAGATGTGATGGAAATAGCAAGAGAATTAGAAGGAGAAGTGGAATCTGGAGAGGTAACTGAATTGGTGTAACCTCATGATAAAACTTAAATGGATGAGGCATTACCTCTTATGGATCAGCAAAGAAATTGGTTTCTTGAGGTAAAATTTATTTCTGGTGAAAATGCTGTGAACATTGTTGAAATGGCAATGAAGGGTTTCGAATATTACATAAACTTAGGTGATAAAGCAGCAGCAGGATTTGCACGGGTTGACTCCAATTTTGAAAGAAGTTCTACTGTAGGTAGATAAATGCTATTAAACAGCTTTGCATGCTACAGAGAAATCTTTTTGAAAGGAAGAGCGAATCAATGTGACAAACTTCATTATTATCTTATTTTAAGAAATACCACAGCCACCCTAAACTTCAGCACCCCTCCAGCCTGAGCAGTCAGCGGCCATCAGCATTCAAGCAAAACCCTCTGCCAGCAAAAAGATTTTGACTTGCTGAAGGCTCAGATGATTGTGTTAGCATTTATTAGCAACAAAGAATTTTTAAATTAAGGTGTGTACATCTTTCTAGACGTAATGCTATTATACAGTCAATATAATACAATGTAGGAAAAATATAAATTATATATTCACCAAAAAATTTGTGGACTTACTTTATTGCAATGTTTACTTTAATTTGGAGTGTGGAACAGAAACCACAATCTCTGAGGTGTGTCTTTATTAGATACTATGTCCTCAGGGAAGAAGCCTAACTCTCCACCTCTTCTTTACGGGCCTTACATAGCTAATTTATTTCAAAGAGCGAAAAAAAATAATCAGAGGAGTAATTTTATACTGAGAAAACCTGACAAACACTATCTCAGTCAGGTGATAAAGTGTCAAAGTCATAAAAACAAGAAAAGTCTACGAAATTGTTCCAGTAGGCTAAGCACAGTGGCTCATGCCTGTAATCCCAGCACTTTGGGAGGCTGAGGTAGGTGGATCATCTGAGGTCAGGAGTTCGAGACCAGCCTGACCAACATGGTGAAACCCCATCTCTAATAAAAATACAAAATTATGCAGGCGTGGTGGCACATGCCTGTAATCCCAGCTACTTGCAAGGCTGAGGCAGGGGAATTGCTTGAACCCAGAAGGCGGAGGTTGCAATGAGCCAAGATCATGCCATTGCATTCCAGCCTGGGCAACAAGAGCAAAACTCCATCTCAAAGAAAAAAGAATATATATATATATATATATATATATATATATATATATATATAGAGAGAGAGAGAGAGAGAGAGAGAGAGAGAGAGAGAGAGAGAGAGAGATACATATAGATAGATATATAGATAGATAGACAGACAGACAGATAGATAGATAGATAGATAGATAGATAGATAGATAGATAGATAGATCCAGTCAAAAAGCATCTAAGAAAACATGACTAAACCGAACTAAGTGCAGTGTGATAGCCTGGATGGAATGCTGAAGCAGAAACAGGACATTAGGTGAAAACTAAGAGAATCTGTATAAACTATGAACTTTAGTTAATAACAATGTATTACTATTGACTCATTAATTGTAATAAATACGCCACATGAAAATAACATGTTAATAATAATTTCTATGTTGCATTTATATGAACTCTTTACTATTTTGTCAATTTTTCTATAAATCTAAAACTGTACCAAAAAAACTCTGCTAAAGTTTATAAACATGTTCTTTTTGAGTTTATGTTGGCTAACGACTTTATTAAGAAGTGGGATGACTTAATTTACACTTAGACAGAAGTGTAAATGATTTATTTGAATGTTAACAAGGGAAAAACTATATAGTTAAATATGTATATATAAACACACAAAGATACATGTTGTGATATAGATACACATACATACACGTAAGGGTCTTCAAAATATTCATGGAAAATTGCTGAGGAAACAATGCATGGATTTCAATTTTTTACACAAAAGTAGACTCATATCAACTTGTTAGAACATATCTGAACAGGATGTAATTTGAGGCACCAAGAAGGAGAAGACACAGTTTGAAAAGAGTCTTATGAAAGCAACATGAATTCTGCTAAAATTGAAGCAACAACAAACATCAAATTTATGATGAAGTTTAGGCTGAAGACTGGTAAAATCACTGATGCTTTACAAAAACTTTATGGAGACAATGGCCCCAAATAAATCAGCAGTTTATAAATGGATAACTTGTTTTAAGAAGGGATGAAATACGTTAAAGATGAAGCCTGCAGTTAGACCATATACATCAACTTTCAAGAGAAAAAAATGAATCTTGCTTATGTCCATACTGAAGAGGACAAACAATTAACAGAAGGTACAGAAAATACAATAGCCAACACCACAGACATCTCAATTGGTTTGGCATACCTAATTCTCACTGAGAAATTAAAGTTGAGCAAAATTTCTACTCAATAGGTTCCAAAACCATTGTGCTCAGATCAGCTGCAGATAAGAGTATGGCTTTTAATGGAAATTTTAAGCAAGTGAGGTAAAAATGCTGAAGGATTACTTCAAATAATTGTAACAGGAGATGAAACATGTCTTTACCAGTATGATCCTATGGACAAAACACAATCGTCTTTACCAGTATGATCCTACGGACAAAACAAAATCAAAGCAATGGCTACCAGAGGTGAAAGTAGTCTAGTCAAAGTAAAAGCAGACTGGTCGAAAGCAAAGGTCATGGCAACAATTTGGGGGATGCTCAAAGTTGTTTTCCTTGCTGACTTTCTGGAGAACCAAGAAACAATAACATTTCCTATGGATGAGAATATTTTAAGAAAGTTAACCAAAGCATTAGCAAAAGACACTTTGGAAAGCTTCACCAGAGTCCTTCTTCACCGTGACAATGCCCCTGCTCATTCCTCTCATCAAATAAGGGAAATTTTGTAAAAGTATCTTTGAGAAATCATTAGACATCCACTATGTAGCCTTGATTTGGCTCCTTTTGACTTCTTTTAGTTTTCCGACCTTGAAAAAGTATTCAAATGGCATTGATTTTTTTTTTATTAGTAATGTAACAAAAACTGCATTGACATAGTTAAATTTCCAGGAACCTCAGTTCTTTAGGGATAGACTAAATGGCTGGTATGATTGCTTACAAAAGTGACTAGAAGCTGATGAAAATTATTTTAAGAAATCCAGGAACTGTTTCTTTTAATAAGATTAACAAAATAGATGGACCACTAGCTAGATGAAAAAAGAATAAGAGAAAAAAGAATAAGAGATAGAAGAATCAAATAGACACAATAAAAATGATAAAGAGGATATCACCACTGACCCCACAGAAATACAAATTACTATCAGAAAATACTATGAACACGTCTCCGCAAATAAACTAGAAAATCTAGAAGAAATTAATAAATTTCTGGATACATACACCCTCCCATAACTAAACCAGAAGGAAGTCAAGTCCCTGAATACACCAATAACAAGTTCTGAAACTGAGGCAGTAATTAATAGCCTACCAATGAAAAAAAGCCAAGGACCAGACAGATTCACAGCTGAATTCTACCAGAGGCACAAAGTGGAGCTGGTACCATTCCTTGTGAAACTATTACAAACAGTAGAAAAAGAGGGCCTCATCCCTAAATGATTTTATAAGGCCAACATCATCCTGATACCAAAACCTGGCAGAGACACAACAAAAAATGAAAATTTCAGGCCAATATCCCTGATGAACATCAATGTGAAAATCCTCAATAAAATACTAGCAAATCGAATCCAGCAGCACATCGAAAAGCTTATCCACCACAATCAAGTTGGCTTCATCCCTAGGATGCAAGGCTGGTTCAAATATAAACATAACCAATGACAAAAACCACATGATTATCTTAATAGATGCAGAAAAGGCCTTTGATAAAATTCAACATCTTTTCATGCTAAAAATTCTCAATAAACTAGGTATTGTTGGAACATATCTCAAAATAATGAGAGCTATTTATGACAAATCCATAGCCAATATCACACTGAATGGGCAAAAGCTGGAAGCACTCCTTTTGAAAACCAGCACAAGACAAGGATGCCCTCTCTCACCACTCCTATTTAAAATAGTATTGGAAGTTCTGGCCAGGGAAATCAGGCAGGAGAAAGAAATAAAGCGTATTCACATAGCAAGAGAGGAAGTCAAATTGTCTCTGTTTGCAGACTACATGATTGTATATTTAGAAAGCCCCATCTTTTCAGCCCCAAAACTTCTTAATCTGATAAGCAACTTCAACAAAGTCTCAGGATACAAAAATCAATGTGCAAAAATCACAAGCATTCCTGTACACTAGCAATGGACAAGCAAAGAGCCAAATCATGAATAAACTCCCATTCACAATTGCTACAAAGAGAATAAAATACCTAGGAATACAACTTACAAGGGATGTAAAGGACTTCTTCAAGGAGAACTACAAACCACTGCTCAAGGAAATAAAAGAGGACACAACCAAATGGAAAAACATTCCATGCTAGTGGACAGGAAGAATCAACATCATGAAAATGGCCATACTGCCCAAAATAATTTATAGATTCAATGCTATTCCTATCAAGCTACCACTGACTTTCTTCACAGAATTGGAAAAAACTACTTTAAATTTCAAATGGAAACAAAAGAGAGCTCACATAGCCAAGACAATCCTAAGCAAAAAGAACAAAGCTAGAGGCATCATGCTACGTGACTCCAAACTACGCTACAAGGCCACAGTAACCAAAACAGCATGGTACTGGTATCAAAACAGAGATATAGACCAATGGAACAGAACAGAGGCCTCAGAAATAACACCACACATCTACAACCATCTGACCTTTGACAAACCTGACAAAAACAAGCAATGGGAAAAGGATCCCATATTTAATAAATGGTGCTGGGAAAACGGGCTTTGGCCATATACAGAAAACTGAAACTGGACTCCTTCCTTAACCTTCTACAAATATTAACTCAAGATGGATCAAAGACTGAAATGTAAAGCCCCAAACCATAAAAACCCTAGAAGAAAACCTAGGCAATAACATTCAGGACATAGGCATGGTCAAAGACTTCATGATTAAAACACCAAAAGCAATTGCAACAAAAGCCAAAATTGACAAATGGGATATAGTCAAATAAAAGAGCTTCTGCACAGCAAAAGAATCTATCATCAGAGTGAAAAGGGAACCTACAGAATGGGACAAAAAATTTGAAAGCTACTCATCTGACAAAGGTCTCATATCCAGAATCTACAAGGAACTTAAACAAATTTACAAGAAAAAAAAACCTCATCAAAAAGTTGGGGAAGTATATGAACAGACATTTCTCAAAAGAAGACATTCATGCAGCCAACAAACATAAAAAAGCTCATCATCGCTGGTCATTAGAGAAATGCAAATCAAAACCAGAATGAGATATCATCTCACACCAGTTAGAACGGCAATTATTAAAAAGTCAGGAAACAACAGATGCTGGGAAGACTGTGGAGAAATAGGAACACTTTTACAGTGTTAGTAGGAATGTAAATTAGTTCAACCATTGTGGAAGACAGTGTGGCAATTCCTCAAGGATCTAGAACCAGAAATACCATTTGACCCAACAATCCCATTACTGGGCACGTACCCAAAGGATTATAAATCATTCTAATATAAAGACATATGCACACGTATGTTTATCGCAGCACTATTTACAATAGCAAAGACTTGGAACCAACCCAAATGCCCATCAGTGACAGTCTGGATAAAGAAAGTGTGGCACATATACACCACAGAATACTATGCAGCCATAAAAGAATGAGTTCATGTCCTTTGCAAGGACATGGATGAAGCTGAACGCCATTATCCTCAGCAAACTAACACAGGACCAGCAAACCAAACACCACATGTTCTGACTCATAAGTGGGAGTTGAACAATGAGAAAACATGGACGCAGGGAGGGGAACAACACACACCGGGGCCTGTTGGGGGTTTGGGGGAAAGGGAAGGGAGAGAAATAGGAACAATACCTAATACACGCAAGGCTTAAAACCTAGATGATGAGTTGATAGGTACAGCAAACCACCATGGCCCATGTATACCTATGTAACAAACCAGCACGTTCTGCACATGTATCCCAGAACTTAAAGTAAAATATAAAAAAAGTTTCTATTTTCTATTTTCATATTTTAATTCCATTTTTATGAACTTTTTGAAGTCCCCTGTGGACACTATACACATATAAATGCAAATAAGTATTCTGGGATCTGCCAGAAAAAGTGAATAATTTAGCTAACTTGATAGGATATTGCAATATGTCAGTAAATATATAGAAAGAAAGAGGAAATATAAGATGTTTTGAAGCCAAAAGAATATTGGATAGAGCAGTGGGATCAATATGAAAAAAGCTAAGACCTGACCATTGTTTGAGTAGAAGTTCACCAAACAGAAAAACATGGAAAAAAGGAAGAAAAATAATAAAAAGATGGGGGGAAATTAATATTTTAGTTTGAAGGAAGAAAGCTGAAGGTTTTTCCATTTAATTACTTCCTTATTGTCTTTGAATTAAGAGTACAAATCATCTACTGAGAATCAATAATGATATCGTAGGGCCAGAAGTTTAAAAAGGTGAAAAATGATTTAATAAGATAGCAGTGCTATCATAGGACTGCAGAAGATTATTAGGTAGACGAAAAGTTGAAAAGGAAGTAACTGAGTTAATGGAGCCAAAAGAATGTGATATTTTAGTTAGAGTGGGATAAATAAGTTTATTATTTTAAAGATATAATAGTATGGGGGAAATGACAAATCCATAGTTTGTGGACAGAGAAGAGTATAGCTTCAGTGTAGAGGAGGGAAAATATTCTGCTGAAGTGGATGACTGTGGTGCTGCGTGGGCCACCCATGTGGAAAATAATATCACCCAGGATGATACACTGATTAGATAGATAAGAATACAGGAAATGTGTCTGCAAAACTGAAGAGGAGTGACTAGGAGGTTAATAGTTTATTCTGAGTAGGAGAGTGGAGATAGGCGGTGGTAAATATGAACATGAGATTCAGACGAGACAGGATGTTATGTGAGTACGGTGGAGCAATGTCTTAGACTGGCAAGGGAAACCTGGATAAGTACTCAAATGTTCTACCAATATAAAATAGATGACTTTAGGATAATGTGCATCCCTGATCACTCTAGAGGAAATGATGGATTCCAGGGGAAGAATAGGAGATGGAGAAAATAGTTTGTGGATATAGGGAAGCTATAGTTTACGTATTTCTCTGTGTTTGTGAGTGGAGTCAGGTGCCTATCAATCTATCTTAGCTATTTATGTTTCACAAAGGTACTACATTTAATTGTAAGTAATATTTATTTTTTAAAATGTAATGTAATGTACTTACATTTTCTTATTTTATAGAATCGAAGGTGTATGTAATCTACTTCTGCCATTCTTACATAAGCTAAATATAAACATCATATTGGTGGGTTTGTATCGTGATTATATTGTTTCCAAAACTCTTTTTAAATACATCAAAATTGCCATAGGTTCTTTTTTAAGAAACGCCAGCTGTCCAGTTGCATAAAAGATATCATTGAAAGCAGAGATACCCCTCATTGGGAAGGATTACTTTTTCAAATCTTAACCATAATAGATTCAGTATGACTTTTAAAGTGATATTAAATTTTTTAGCAGCAGTGAACAAAGATCATCTGATTAGAAAAAGTAAAAAAGATGCCTTTGGGTAATTAGGAATTCAATAAGTATGTGAATTCCTGCAGAGCTGGCAAGCCCTTTCTATTCTTGTTTTACCATACTTCATAGAAAAGTTCCCAAGATGTTTTAAGCTATTACCTTAGTTCTTGACTGGGTAAACTGGCATGTCAACTGGATGTAAAAATAAATCTTTCTCACTCTCCTCTTTGACTTACATTTCCTTGTTTCTGAAGCATTTTGACTTTTCTCGTGGTTAATAATTCTTCAAAGTTAAACCAGCTTGTCTTCATTGATTCTTTTCTTCATCAGATGCTCTTGTGGCTCTGCTGTGCTTTTTGAGTTGTTTCTGTGAACCAGTATGGCCTTAAGGTGATCAGCTTGAAAGGAAGGGGAAATAAATGCTTGAATTTTCTTCTATATAAAAATGAATCTGGCCTTTTCTATTGTGCTGTGCCTGCCTTTTGTTTTCCACTGGGTTTTATTTCTTTCTTTGGACTTTACATCTTTTTTCAGGTTTTTTTTGTGGGGGGGTGTTGTTCTTTTTCTCCCCTCTTACATGTTTTATCTGTTCCCAGAAGAATTGTATGGTGCTATGACTGACACGCATAGCTTTCCTTCTCTACAATACTGAGCCAGGTCAATCATTTATTTTATGTTTGTCTTTTTGCTTTCAATAGCTTGTAGCCAATGCAGCCTGTTTGATTTGACAGCTGCTTTTAGAAGTGTATCTAACAAAGAGCAATTTTGCAAAATCAGCTCAGACCCCAGCTTTGGAAGGCTCCATGTTGTGGAATCCTGTTTAGTTACTCTGAGAGGTAGACAATAAGAGTTTCGCAAGCTGAAGCTAAATATCAGGTAAATCATATCTGAAAAAAATTAAAATCAGCCCAGAAACTCTGCCATCATTGCCATAACAAAGGAACTATTCCATTTTAGTACATATGTATCAGGTTCTCTTTTTGGTGAGTTATTTTCTTTTTCGTGGTTGTTAACTAATGTTGATTTGAACTAGATTTTGCTTGTATTGAAATGGTAGGGTGAGAGGAATTCTCAGGGAAGAATAACAATATGATTTGCTCCAGTTTCTCTCAATCTAAGAGCTGATACTTGGTCTTGGCTATGTTATTGTTTTCCTGTGAGTTTATTCTTTGTTTTTTCTCTTCCCCCAACTAGTACCTTAGTACATAACACTGCCACCCCTAATATAAATAAGTACCACCGACCCATAGCTAGCCTTCCCAAATCTAATATCCCCTCTCATTGTTGCTAGACTATTTCTCATTTACAAAAGTTGGAAAAGTCTAAAAAAATCCTTATTTAATTTCATTTGTCAAAAGCTTTTATGTATTTTATATTTCCCATCCCACTAAATTTTTATGTCTCTACTTTTGAAAGTTTCTCTAAACTGATTTCATCCTACTTGGGCAAAGAATTTAAATTTAGTTCCAAGCATTTCTTTTTATTTAATATCAGGTTAGTATTGTCCTTGCCCTATATTGACTCCTTATTTTGCAATTATGCATTCATGAAGGCTACTCTATTTACCTGTGAGTTTTTCTGTCCAACCCTCTGCATACCTAGAAGATATACACTCTCACACTTCCCAGGAAATCTATGTGAAACCCTTTTTATTTCTACTACTTTAGTTTTTATTGATCTTAACTTCGATGAATATCTTGTTATAGTAATTGAGCCACAACATTTAGTAAATATATTTCTATGTATTCTGTTCTTGTATAATATAAGTGGTTTTTGGAACCACAATTATATATTACGTTCTTTGATGGAACAGCCCAATATCTACAATTTTTGTCTGCAAGTTTGTTTATATACGTTCTGCAGATCTTGCTGAGGATGAAACATATACCAATTATAATTTGTTACATTCAATTAAAAATGATTTCCTGATTTTTTCCCAATTCCTATTTACAGAATTTGTATCAGGTATTACTATTCTCACTTACAGCTTAGAAGATGGAGTCTGAAACAAGGTGAGTGAATTGTCCAAAGCCCAGAATTAGTACTCAGCCAAAAGTAATTAAATGCCAAGCAATTATCTTGGAAAGGGAAAGACTATTTTGTATGCTGAAACGACAAAATAAAAACTAAACGGTGATAGTTTTACTTAGGACTTCATTTTAGCCACTTTAATTATTAATATTAATTTGTTTAAAATTTGGATGTATCAAATCCAGAACATAATATTTCTTCTCCTCATTCACTATACTAAAAAAATTGTGAAACCCTTTTTTCCCTTTGTTTCCTACACTGTCTGGCCTAATAAAATGTAATGCCAAATGTCAAGTATTAAAGAAAGACAGCCTCCCAGGAAGACGTGAACATTTCATTTTTTGATTTTCTGATATTTGTGCCAGAATTTTATCCCTGGGAATAGGAAGTGAGCATACAAGTGGCAATATTGTAGCACCAGCAAGCAAACTAGCAATGAAAGTTATGAGGAAATTTGAGGAGCTGTTCCACTGACACAGAGTACAATGGGAGCTTGACATTGAACTGAAAAGGTATGTGTATCAACTCAGCGGGAGAGAGTTGTGTGGGAAGAGCTTTTGATAGCTTCCTACTCCCTTAGGGAATGACATAGGGATTATCCATTTTTATAGTATCAAGCTACAAAAGCAGGATCTTTCCTATACCCCGTAACATCTGACTAAATAAAGTACACAACAGAGTTTCCAGAGGATAACTGTAAATGCCACAGAAACTCTTAAATTTGGAAGACATGACCTCAATAGTTTTATTTCAGTTTCTCAGAAAGTATCATCTTCTTATTTGTACTTTACAGAATGTAGTTTTAAAAAGAATATACTGCACTTGTCCTTAGCTTTGAGGTCTACAAAGTGCTTTCATATACACTTTCCTTTGTGAGGTAGGTAGGGCAGGGATTCTTAGTTGTGTTTCGTACATATTGCAACAAAATAAGTGGATGATTAAATTTGTTCCAATATTACAAAGAGACATAATTAAACCCATATCTTTTGGTTTCCAAATGCAGTACTTTCATTCCCATGAAGGGAAAATTTCTGACGAAACTCTGACATCAACCTTTGTCCAGGCAAAATTATAGCCTGAGTATAGTAAAAAGTATTTTAGAATTCAATTTACTGAAAATTTATTCTGATGATAAATGCCATCATATCCTAAATTAAATGTGAATATACGCCTTAAAACTCAATAGTTAATCATTGACTAAGAAAACTAAGTATAAAACACAGAGAATGCAAGGTCGGGTAAAAAAGCTGAAAAGTCTAATAAAACTTCCATTTATGTAGAGCTAGGTATGGGAAGGCCAGAAATAGATGATAGAAGATGTCCCTAACATAGTCCATAAAAATTACTTCCCTTTACAAAAACTATGTAAATATATTAGGCAACAAAAAAGGAGAATTAGATAAAATTTCCTTACATTGACAGGTAAGGAGACACACTAATAATAGCCAGCAATAAAACTTTCAGTGTTGGAAGAAACCTGTTACCTGGAGCATGGAATGAGAATGAGGCTGAAATGAGAACATATTTCATGGAAAAATTGGAGAAATTCAAATCAGAACATTCTCATGTCATGTGCCCTGAGGGTAATTAAGAAAATGTCAGATGTCATTGATGAACCATTTGCCATTATCTTAAGGAAATCATGCAGGACAAGGATTCTCTGAGGACTGGAGAAAGGAAAATGTTGTGTCCATCCTTATTTTTCTTTAATGACCTTGCTATATACAGGTCAACTGAAAAATCCATTCTAGAATAAATAATTAATCCCAAAGAATCAAAGTTAGTAATTTTCTTGGGCAACTATATGTAATATGTTTAACTTAAGAAAAGTGCTGAACAAAAAAGCTAAAACAGCTTGTTTTATTTAATATTCTGTGCAATATCTTGGTTGGCAAAACAAACAATTTTAGAAGTAATTTTTGAAAACAACTTATTTAGGCACTTATATATGCAGTAAGTATTCTGAACTTAAAATATTGAGCTTCAAAATAAAACATATAAAATACATGAAAAGGTTTTCTAGATTTATTAATAAGCAGACAACTCTTTCCTCATGGAAAACATTTTAAAAAACACTTATAAATAACCAACATTTTAGCAATGTTATATTAACTAAAAACCAACCCCAAATAAAGAAAAATTACAAATAAACTAAAAGGGATTTTTGAGCCTAAATGCTTCAAAATGAAAATAGATGTATAAAAGCTGCTAAAGGTAACTGAAGGCATTTTTATGTAGACAATGAAAGAGAACCATGATCTGTGATGTCCCAACATTACCTCTATATGTATGGGTATCTATATATGCATATAAATGACAGTAATATAAACTTGTAATGTCTTCATATGCATTAAAGACTATAGCAAAAATAGTATGGCTTTGGGAAGTTTGTATTACACAACGTGAATATATCTTTAAAATGGGTTTAGAAATCAAAGACAATCAAGAAGACCAACAAATTTAGTTAATGTTTCTGATAGAGTCCATTAAATGAACTACAGGTATGGCTTAACTTTCTAAGGCAAAAAAACCCCATTCACTTATTGTAACTATTTTCATAACTGAATAAAATAATGCATGTAACAGTGCCAAAGATCTTATTCAACATGGTACCTACTCCATTAATGGTGTTGGTTTTCATCATTCTTATTGAATTTCTTTTATGGCGACTGTCAGATAACATTAACAAGAACAAAACATTTTAGTCCATTCAGGCTGCTATCTCAAAAATATCATAAACAGGGTGGCTTATGGACAAAGGAAGTTTATTTTTTACCATTCTAAATGCTGAGAATTCCAAGACTTCAGCAGAATTTTTGTCTGATAAGGGCTTGTTCACCTCTTTCATAGGCGGTGCCTTCTCACTGCATCCTCACATTTGGGAGGTTATCATCAAATTTGTGCCTTTATGAAAGAGGCAAGCTCTCTCAGGTCTCTATTTATAAATTCACTAATCCCATTATAACCTCCCAAAGGCTCTACCTCTTAATATTACCACATTTGCAATTAGGGTTCAACATATGATCTTTTGGGTAACACATAGATTCAGACCATAGCACAAAGTAACCAATTTAATTGAATCATAGATGTTTGAATAGGTGTTTCCTTTGTGTTCTTTGTAACTTTCATATTGTTTTTTGTTTCCAATTGTATTTATTTTATTAACAGGTTTTTGTTCTAGCTCCTAAACCTACTCACCAAAAATATGGAGATATTTGGGGAAGAACTATGACTTGCTCTAGCCTCTCAGATTCCTCTGACACATATTCCTAAACTACTTCATAAAGAGAGAGATAACTATATGCCTACCACATTCAGTCTTACAATTAAAATCTTAGGCTCTATTAGAATCATCTGCATCTCTACATTATTTTAATTTCTTACTTGGACCAAATCTTTGCACCTGTTTCCTGAAATGTATAGGTTGAAATCCTAACCCACAATGTCATGGTTTGGAATGTGGAATCTCTAGGAAATAATTAGGTCACGAGAGTGGAGGCCTAATGAATGGGATTAGGGTTCAATATAAAAGACCTCAGAGAGTTTTCTTACACTCTTTCCTCCATGTGATGATACAAAAAGAAGTCAGCTATCTGCATCCCAGAACAGAGCCCTGGCCAGAACTCAACCATTCTGGCACCCTTATTTCACACTTCCAGCCTTCAGAACTGTAAGAAATAAATTTATGTTGCCTATAAGCCACCCACTCTATGATATTTTGTTATAGCATCTCAAACTAAGATAGACTACAAGGATTTCCATATTACAATTAAGAAACCAACTATGTAAATTGGGTGCACTGTTAGAATGAGAGTGTCAATGACTGTTGCTTCTGACTCTAGACAGTATGCTGAGTCCTGATCTTTATATTTCCTATTGGTTTCCTGAGTACACTAACTGTGGTGGTTAGACTAGGAATGAGCCTTAGTGTTTAACCGTAAGAATGGTTGCCAGTAGCTAGTAATCATCCAGGGTGGGCCTAATGTTCACTGGTGACAAATATTTGGGGAAAGAAAGAAAACTGAAATGTCTCCCTTTGAAGTTCAGGTCTGAGGAAGGAGAATCTTTAAGGTGTCAATTTTCTGGCCAGAAACCTCTGTGGCCAGTGGCATTTTTGCCTGAGTTCTTGTCTTGCGTCCAGAAAGAATGAAATACACAGACAAGTGGAGGGTGAGCAAGATGAAGAGGAGCTTTACTGAGTGTCAGAACAACTCAGAGGAGACCCGCAGTGGATAGCTCTTCCCTGTAGGCAGGTTGTCCCATTGAATGCTCAGCTTTCAGCAGAGATGAGGCCCTGGAGTGGGTTGCTCCTTTCTGCAGCTGGTAGTCCCGATGTGTCTGCAGGTCTCTGAAGGTCTCAGCGGAGAGGGTAGCTTCTCTCTGCAGTTGGTCTTCCCATTGTCTGATCAGCTCTGGCTGAGTCTGGGACTTTTATGGGCCTTGGAGGGGAGGAAGTGTGCACCTATTGTTCAACGAGTGGCCATGGGGAAGCCCAGAAAAGACACCGCAAGTTCCCACTCCACTCTATAGGACTGGCCACCCAGCCCCCAGCCTTCAGGCCCTCCATGGCCTGAAGGTGGAACCTCACTGGGGACCTGCCCACTTCCTCTCAGGAATTGGACTGCCTCCCCATGGTGCCTGGGCTCAGCCGTGACTTTGCTCCAAGACTGGAGCAGGTGCCAACAGCAGAGAAAAACTAGGCAGTGGGAGCAAGCACTTTCAAGCCTACAAGGGCAGAAGGAAAGCCATGGTTTGGGTGGCTGCAGCTGTGCCCAGGGAGTGGCCGTGCTCTTGCCTGCTCTGTGGAGCAGGAGGCCTAGGTCTGCAGCCATGGTTTGGGCAGTGGCAGCTGCGCCCGGGGGAGCAGGGTTCCTGCCTGCTTCCAGCCCACCAAGAGCACAGGGACGCTTGGATCTGCAGCCACAACTTTGGCGTCTGCAGCCCCACCCAGTAGGTGGGGCTCCTGCCTACTCCAGGAAGCAGGAGGCCTGGTCGTGCCTCCCTTCTGCAGCTGACATCATGGCAGTGGCAGACTATCTGGAGCAGCCACTGCCATCAAACCCTCCCTCTGAAGAGGTACATCTAACTGCCATTACGATAGGGATGACAACTGCTCTTAACTGCTTCATGCTGACAGGGGGCATTGTTTTGGGGGAAATGGTAGTCAGATCTAAGGGCCTATCTAAGGGTCCCTGGTAAAAAGAGAGCCAATATTCCAAGGCTCCAGTTGCATAAGTTTGATGGCTTCTAAGCAAGAAGAAACAAATTTTACAAGGAGGTTTACTATGTGATTGGCTAGAGCTATTTCCTCCTAGTGGAAAATATTTAATCTTGTATGGGGGCAGTTAAACTTTAAAAGAGAAATAACTGTTTAGGGGAGTGAATAATCCCTTGGGAAGGGGTCCCTGACCCCCTTATGGTGAGGAACAGAACAAAAGTGAGCATAGTAAGTATAGAATATTCTGGGAGGGTTAATTATTAGCACTTATCTTCCGTGATTTTTATTGTGAGGTTCCTGATTTCTTTACTCTGCTACTTCAGGTGCTCTCCTGGGTCATCAGAGCCAAATTCATCAGTTTCCCAGGCCTTAACTTAAGTATAATAAATCCAAGAATCTATTCCAGTGATATTTATTGCCATAGGAGTAGAAAGAAGTACAGTGTAAGATCCCTCCCATTGCAGGCCTAGAGAGGGAGAAAGGGATTGGAAGAGGCTTTACCAGTACTGAGTCCCCTGGGTTGAATAGAGATGGCCCCAGTTCATGGGATTGGGCCTCTGGTAGTTCTTTCAGTTCATGTTGGAAACAGGCCAAAAGGTTGTTTAATTAAATCAGAGTTTTCTCGGTCTAGTAGGAAATTATTAGTAAGAAAATGCAGTCCATACATCATTTCAGAGGGACTTAAACCCAGCTTCAAAGGGGTGTTTCTAACCCATAGTAGGGCTAAGAGGAGAAGAGTAATCCAGGAGAGATGAGTCTCTTGAGCCAGTTTTCTGGAGTCCCTTTTGATAATATAATTTGTCTTTTCTACCTTCCCCAAAGATTGTGGTCACCAGGCACAATAAAGATGGTATTGTATGCCTAGTGCTTTGAGACACCCTGAGTGAGGGATGTCTCAAAGGTACAGGAGGCCATTATCACTCCGGAGGTACTTAGGAAGTTCAAAGGGAGGAATTATTTCATTAATTAGTACTTTTATCACCTCAGAAGCTTTCTCTGTTCGACAGAGAAATGCTTCTATCAAGTTAGTGAAGGTATCTACCCGTAGTATGAGGTACTGGATGCCCCTTGTCTTTGGTGTATGAGTAAAATTCATCTGCCAGTCTTCCCCTGGCAGTCTCCTATTCTTTGGGTTCCCAGAGGGGAGAAGCTGCCAGTTGAGGGAATTATTTTTAAGGCAAGTCTCACAAGCATTAATGACCTGTTTGACAATTTTTAGCAAATTTTTACCTGAGAATAACCTTTGGGCCACTTGATAAGTTTTATCCTTACCTAGGTGAAGTCCAGGTGGTGGATTTTTAAAACTTTCCATTGGCTAGAAGCTGGTAGATGAGGCTTACCATCCTCTGATTGCAGCCAAACTAAGGACTGAAGGGTGTATGCCTGAGAGGTACCCCATTCTATCTCTACAGAGGAACGCTGAGGTTTTATTTCTTTTATGGAGCCTTCTCAGATCAGAGAGGCCTCAAGTGGATCAAAAATCTTGGCCCTCTTGCTGCTGACTTAGCTGCTGGCCTACCAATTTATTTCCCTCAGCTATTTTATCTGTCCCCTTTTGGTGGCCTTTACAATGTATTACTGCCACTTTCCATGGAAGGAAGACTGAGGATTATAGTCTGTTGATTTCCTGATGGTATTTAATGGGAGACCCACTGTCTGCGAGGAGATCCTCTCTTTCCCAATAGTGGCATGGGCATGGAGAGCTAGGAAAGCATACTTAGAATCAGTGCAAATGTGAACTGTTTTCCCATTGCTTAAGTGCAGCTTTGCTAGTTGAGCACTTGTATCTGAGGAGAGATGCACGCTCTCAACATCATTCAGGGTGACTCTTGCATAGCCTGCCTCATGGATCTCTTGCTCTACAAAGGAACTTCAGTCCATAAAGATAATCCAGTCTGGGTTCTCTAAGGGGGTTTCTATGAGGTCCTCTCTGGTTGCATAGGTTTGCACTACTATCTGTTTGCAGTCATTTTCAAGCTCCCCAGCTTCCTCTGGAAGGAAGGTGGCTGGGTTTAGGGAGTGACAGGTTCTTAACTGGAATGCAGATACCTCTAATGCCAGAGCTTGATATTTAAGGAGGTGGTTGCCTGTTACCCAGAGACCCCTTAGAAGACAGAAGACCTGCTACATTATGTGGGGTATAAATGGTTAGGTTATTCCCCATGGTTAACTCAGTAGCCTCTGGTACCAGCAAAGGTACCCATGAAACTGCCCAGAGGCACGTAGCCATTCTTTATCTACTAAATAAAGCTCCTTGCTTAGGTAGCCACAGGATGCTGGGCTGGACCTCAGGCCTGCGTTAGAACTCCCAGGGCCATTCCCCTTTTTGAAACATAAAGATTGAACATATCCCCAGTGAAAAGACTAAGAGCAGGTGCCACAAGCAAGGCTTGTTTTAAAGGGTAAAAGGCCCTTTTAGCCTCTGGTTCCCAAGTTACAGAGTGGGTCTTAGCTGTCTGAGTCTCCATTATTAGGTGATACAAGGGATGAGCTATTTCACCATACTCAACTGTATTAGTCCATTTTCACGCTGCTGATAAAGACATACCTGAGACTGGGCAATTTAAAAAAGAAAGAGGTTTATTGGACTTACAGTTCCATGTGTCTGCAGTGGCCTCACAATTATGGCAGAAGGTGAAAGACATATCTCACATGGTGGCAGACAAGAGAAAAGAGATTGTGCGGGGAAATTCCCCCTTATAATAACCATCAGATCTCTTGAGACTTACTATCATGAGAACAGCACAGGAAAGACCTGCCCCCATGATTGACTTACCTCTCACCTGGCCCCTCCCACAACATGTGGGAAGTCAAGATGAGATTTGGGTGGGGACACAGCCAAACAATATCATTCCACCACCAGCCCCTCTCAAATCTCATGTCCTCACGTTCAAAACCAATCATGCCTTTCAAACAGTCCCCCAAAATCTTAACTCATTTCACCATTAATTCAAAAGTCCATAGTCTGAAGTCTTATCAGACAAAGCAAGTACCTTCCACCTTTGGGGTTGTAAAATCAAAAGCAAGTTAGTTGCTTCCTAGATACAATGGGGGTACAGGCATTAGGTAAATACAGCCGTTCCAAATGGAAGACATTGGCCAAAATGAAGGGGCTGCAGGCCACATGCAAGTCCAAAATCCAGTGGGGCAGCCAAATATTTAAGCTCCAAAGTGATTTCCTTTGACTCAATGTCCCACATCCAGGTCATGCTGATGCAAGAGGTGGGTTGTCATGGTCTTGGACAGCTCTGCCTATGGCTTTGCAGGATATAGCCCCCCTCCTGGCTGCTTTCACTAGCTGGCATTGAGTGTCTGTGGCTTTTCCAGCAGCACAGTGCAAGCTGTCAGTGGATCTAACATTCTGGGGGCTGGAGGACGGTGGCCCTCTTCTCACAGCTCCACTAGGTGGTGCCCCAGTAGGGACTCTGTGTGGGGGCTCTGACTCCACATTTCCCTTATGTACTGCCCTAGAAGAGGTTCTCCATGAGGGCCCCACCTCTGCAGCAAAGTTTCTTCTGGCCATCCAAGCATTTCCATACATCTTCTGAAATCTAGGCAGAGGTTCCCAAACCTCAATTGTTGACTTCTGTGCACCTGCAGGCTCAACACTATGTGGAAGCTGCCAAGGCTTGGGGCTTCCACCTCTGAAGCAACAACCTGAGCTGTACCTTGGCCCCTTTTAGTCATGTCTTGAGTGGCTGGGATGCAGGACACCAAGTCCATAGACTGCACACAGCACAAGGACCTTGGGCCCAGCCCACAAAATCATTTTCTCCTACGCCTCCAAACCTGTAATGGGATGGGCTGCTGTGAAAACCTCTGACATGCTCTGGAGACATTTTCTCCATTGTCTTAATAATTAACATTCAGCCCCTTGTCACTTATCCACATTTCTGCAACCAGCTTGAATTTCTCCTCAGAAAATGGGTTTTTCTTTTATATCACATTATCACACTGCAATTTTTAAAAACTTCTATGCTCTGCTTCCTGCATAAAACTGAATGCCTTTAACAGCATCCAAGTCACCTATTGAATGCTTTGCTGCTTAGACGTTTCTTCAGCCAGATATTCTAAATCACTTCTCTACAAAGTTTAATGTTCCACAAATCTCTGGAGCAGGGGCAAAATGCTGACAGTCTCTTTGCTAAAACATAACAAGAGCCATCATCGTTCCAGTTCCCAACGAATTCATAATCTCCATCTGAGATCACCTCAGCATGGACCTTATTGTCCATATTGCTATCAGGCTTTTGGTCAAAGCCATTCAACAAGTCTCTAGGAAGTTCCAAACTTTCCACATTTTCCTGTCTTCCGAGCACTCCAAATTGTTCCAACCTCTGCCTGTTACCCAGTTCCAAAGTTCCTTCCACATTTTCAGGTATCTGTTTAGCAGCACCCCACTCTACTGGAATCAATTTACTGTATTAGTTCATTTTCATGATACTGATAAAGTCAAACCTGAGACTGGGCAATCTGTGAAAAAAATAGGTTTATTGGACTTACAGTTCCCCATGGCTGGGGAGGTCTCACAATCATGGTGGAAGGTGAAAGGCAAAACTCACATGGCAGCAGACAAGAGAAAATAGCTTGTGCAGGAAAACTCCCCCTTATAATAACCATCAGATATCATAAGACTACTCACTATCATGAGAACAGCACAGGAAAGACCTGTCCCATCCCAGTGATTCAATTACCTCCCACCTGGTCCCTCTCACATGTGGGAATTCAAGATGAGATTTGGATGGAAACACAGCCAAACCATATCACCAGGTATTCATAACCTATAGAATTTTGTAATGCCTAAGAATCCCCTCAGTTGCTTGAGAGTTTTAGGGAGGGGAACGAAGGAGATGGGCTTGATCCTTTCTTTGCTTAGTGCCTTCACGAAACTAGACCTAGTTACTTCCCCTCTGATAAGACTAGACCTAAGTACTTCACTGAAGTCTGACAGAGATGAGGCTTAGATTTTGAGACCTTATATACTCTGTTAGCCAGAAAATTAAGAAGGGCCTTATTGCCCTCCAGAGAAATTTCCTCATTTGAGGCACAAAGGAGAATATCATCTACATATTGTAAAACTTTAACCTGAGGAAAAAGAAACTGAGATCTTTTGACAATGCTTGTCCAAACAAGTGGGGGCTGTCTCAGAATCCCTGAGTTAACACTGTCCAGGTTAACTGGGTGGCTTATTGGAGGGATTCTTGAATGCAAACAAATACTGGGAGTTGGGATGTAATGATATGCAGAAAAAGGCATCCTTTAGGTCCTGGACTTTGAAACTTTTAATTCCCTCAGGTATTTGAATTAGCAGGTTATAAGCATTGGGAACCACTGGATGAATTGAAACCATAGCCTCCCTAATGAGGCAGAAGTTCTGGACAATATTGGGGTATTACAAGGGCTATTATAGGGTTTGAGGAGGCCCTGCATCCTTAAGTTAGCATTGATGACTTCTAATCTTTTCCTGACTTCTGGTTTTAGGGAATATCGTATCTGGTTAGGAAAGAAATTAGGATGCTTAAGATGGATCCAGACCAGTGTGACTTTTGTGCCTAGGCCAATTTTCCCTTGAGCTGCCCTAACTTCTGGGTTAACATCGACCTCCACTAGGGGAAGACAAAGTGTCTGCCCAGGAGCCATCAAGATGATGGTTCCCATATGAGCCAAAATATTCCTGCTTAGCAGAGGAGTTGGGCTTTCAGGCATAATTAAAAAGGCATGAGTTAACAAGAGGTCTTCCCAACTATAATTAAGAGTTTGGGGAAAATGTTGGGTTTAAAGTTTTCCTGAAACACCTCTCACAGCCATGCTAAGAGAGGAAAGGGGGCCTGGATTGGAGAGGATAGCTGAAAGGCTCACTCCAGTGTTCAGGAGAAAGTCCACCTTCCTCCCTTTGACTTCCAGAATCACCCAGAACTCCCAGATGGTAAAGGTGATCTGGACCACCAGAGCTGGGAAGAGGATCCCTGGGACCAATCAGTCCTGCTAGACCATTTGGGAGACTAGCTGTAGACCTGATGACCTGTGTCTCTGGGGACAGTCTGCCCTCCAGTGGTCCCCACTGCAAATTGGACAGGGTTAAGGTGGCTTCCTCCTGCTGTCTGGACAGTCCTTTCTAAAGTGCCCTGTCTTGCCACATTTGTAGCAGTTAGCAGGTGCATCTTGGGGACTCTGAGGTTTGTGAGCCTGAAAGGTGGCTATTATAGCCTCTGCCTTTTTCTTGTATTATCTTTCCAAGTTCCCCCTTATCCTTTCCAGGAAGGCAGTAGGATTCTCATCTGATCCATGGTTTATCGTGGATAGCTTGGGGTAATTGAGAGGCTTAGTCCTAGTCCTTCCTAAAGCCTCCAGTAGGCAAACCTGAAAGTATTTCCTCCTCCATTCTATTTCAACATTGGGGTCTCATTTAGGGTCCTCCAATGGTACTGCTATTCTTCAAATTGGATATGTCTCATCCCCTTCCCTGATGCCATATGTGATACAAAGCTCATTCCCCAAATTATCTGCCACTTGTATAGCAGCTTCCTTTTCAGTGGTAGTCAGGGTTTGATTCAAAAGAACATGACTTTCTTCCAAGAGAGTTCAAACACTTGGGTTAAGTTCTGAAAAGTCACTATATACCTGTCAGGGTCATCTGAAAACTTGCCAAGATCCCCCTTAATTTGCTTTAAGTCCTGTAGAGAAAAGGAGACTTGGACTTTAATGAGGTCATATTCACCAGGCATCTGTTGTAGGGACAGGAATGAAACTGGGACATGCCTAAAATGAAGATTTCTAGGATGGGGCAAGCTTAAAAGAGAATCTGGATAGGGAGGAGAATAGGGAGTTTATTCTCCCACTGCAGGTACTTCTGGGGTTCACTTCCATAGCTCCCTGAGATTGCCACTTGCAGCCTCTCCTGAGAAGACCACCAGGGAGGCTGAATTGATCCTACAATGTCAGCAAAGGTCTGGACTACCCAGCAAGACAAAGAAAGTCTTCACATGGGGCCTTGGAACATGCCCCATCATGTTTACAGAAACGGTCCAGCTGCAGGATGGTATTGAAATTAATGCTTCCTTTTTGAGACCAAGCTTCTTCTCTCTGCAAACACGATTTGGGTACACCTTTGTGCAAAGGAATATGGGGCACTTTTTCTCCAGATTCTGAGGGTCAAGGTAGTCCCAGTGATTCAGGACACACTCTAGAGGAGTGTAGGCTGAAGATGATTGGTTACCCATCTGGTAGAGAGGACAGAGGAGGAAAAGATTTTTTTTCTCTCTCCAGAGTCTGAGGGTCAAAGGGGTCCCAGTGATTCAGGAAGCACTTGAGAGGAGTGCAGGCTGAAGATGGTTGGTTGCCCATCTGGAAAGAGGGAAAAATTGTACCTTTGTTGTTTTCTCTTTGCAGTGAATACATAAGGGAGAGAAAAAAATAAAAGGTGCCCCTTTTCTTTCTTTTGACCTTATATTTCCAAGTTCCAGTGACCTGTGCAGGTGCTGACTGTGGGTGCAAGTTTAACCTTCACCTGTGAAGCAGGGAGGTATAGAATATTTGCAATCACCTGTGTGGTGTCTAAGCCTCGGCTGTCAGTAACCTTTGAGTTCTCTAGACCTTATCTATGCCATAGATGTGAGCATGACCTCCCTCCACGAAGGGGAAAAGCCTAATTGAGAGGAGTTAATCATGCTCACCTACGATGTGCCCCTAGATTTCTGCTACTTTCTGCCTCTGGCTTGCTCAGATCTAGTTTGCCTTTCTAGGGCCTCAAACCAAAGCGTGAGAGAAAAGGTGGCTCAAGCCTACCTGGGGCCCATTAAATTAATCCCAGGTGACCCTTGCCAAATTGCAGCCAGCAACCAGCAGGGCAGCCTCTCTGCTGCTTCCCTATTAAACTGTGGGACCAGTTCCCCCTCAACCAAGGAAGAGAAAGGAAGTCATGGGGCCTTTCTAGGGCCTCAAACCAAAGCTTGGGAGAAAAGGTGCCTCAAGGCCACATGGGACCCATTAAATTAGTCCCAGGTGGCCCTTGACAAATTACAGCCAGCAACCAGCAGGGCAGCCTCTCTGCTGCTTCCCTATTAAACTGTGGGACCAGGTCCTCCTCAACCAAGGAAGAGAAAGGGAGTCATGGGAATTGGGGACCTGGCCTAACAAGGTGCCTCCCAATAGTACAACTTAAGTCCATGGTAGGGGAAAGAGCCTGGGGAAAAAAGCCTCTTGCCCTATTCGTGCGGGTTCCTTCAACAGGGAAAAAAACACTCTCAATTGTTATATCCTACTTACTTCTAAGAATAGACAGATACCACATTGTTCTCATTTACACTCCTGATGACTAAACCAAATGCTCATTCTACCTAGTCATGTTCCTGTGGTTTACAACAACATCCTTACCATTTAACATTGTATATAAAGAAGAGATAGGAACCATGATAGCCACAAAAGAAAGAAACAAAAAAAAAAAAATAGGAAAGACTGGTGGTCCTGAGGCTGACACCCTAATGGACAGTCAGGGACTGGAGTTAGTCAAGGGACCTTTGGAAAACACTGAGGTGTAGCCTCGGGCAGATACCCTCTGTTGCCCCAGGACCTCTTTCTGGTCCCACGCAATGGCTAGACCTCTGTGAAGGTAAACCGGGTTGGAAGAAAGCAAACATTCCCAATACCTGAGGGTGATGGGAGATTGACAGTGTTCTCCCCAGCAAGCCTATTCTCCATGTCTTAAGTCCAGCACCTGTGTTAGTCATTTTTAACTGACTGACAGAGGCCAGGTATTTTTCTTTTGTTTTGACTATTGTGGAGTTTAGAGACTCCAAGAAAAAAAAAAAAAAGGACAGAACAGAAAGCAGATCTGCTTTTATTCACCTTTCCACAGATCCCGGATGAACCCCCCCGAAATGTTGTGGGATCTTTAGGGTGTCAATTTTCTGACCAGAAACCTCTATGGCCAGTGATGCCTTTGCTGCAGTTCTTCTTTTGTATCCAGGAAGAATGAGGTACACAGACAAGTGGAGAGTGAGCAAGACAAGAGTAGCTTTATTGAGCGTTAGAACAGTTCAGAGGATACCTGCAGTGGATAGCTTTTCTCTGTAGGCAGGTCACCCCATAGAGTGTTCAGCTCTTAGGAGAGAGGAGGCCCTGGAGAGGGTAGCTACTCTCTGCTCAGACATCAATCATCCTAAAATCTGCTGCTCTCAGCAGAGAAAATGCCCTGGAGTGGGTTGCTCCTCTCTGCAGATGGTAGTCCCAACATCTCTGAAGGTCTCTGAAGCTCTCGGCAGAGCAGGTAGCTTGTCTCTGCTACTGACCATCTTTTGCTTAGCTGTGGCTGATCCTGGGGCTTTTATGAGCCTCAGAGGAGAGGAAGTGTGTGACTATTCATTCATGAGTGACTAAGAATGGGCCCGGAAAAGGCACCACATATTCCCACTCCAGTCTATAGGACTGGCAGCCTGGCCCCCAGGCTTCATGCCCTCCTTGAGCCTGATGCCCAGGCTCAGCCCCAACTTTGCTCCAAGATTGGAGCAGGTGCCAAGAGCAGGGAGAAGCCAGGCAATATGAGCAGGAACTTCTGAGCCTGAAAGGGCAGGAAGTCCTTCCCAGGCCCCTAAGAGTGTAGGGATGTCTCAGTCTGCAGCTGCAATTTGGGTGGCTACAGCTGTGCCTGGGAGGGCATGGCTTCTGCCCACTCCCAGCCCCTCGAGAGCTCAGGGAGACTGAGATCTACAGCCACAACTTGGGCTGCTACAGCCCCACCCAGGAGGGTGTTGCTTCTGCCTGCTCTGTGGAGTAGGAGGCCGGGCCACACCTCCCTGCTGCAGCCAGTGTGATAGCAGTGGAAGGCTATCTGGAGCGGTTGCTGCCATCAGTATCAAAAATAGTTTGAGTAAAACCAGAATCATGGAAATGCTTGCTGTTCCCAAAGCAATTACCTTCAAGTAGGGAGAAGAACAAAGCTCACAAGCATGTGTGAATTTTCATGTGTTTGCCATATCACTCCTATTCATAATAATATAATGCTTAGCAATATAGCCAACTAGAAAAAATAATGAGTACTGGGTTAAGAACATTTGGCTCAATCTCCTGAAAATTGTAGTTGTCTGAATAACTGGGGAAGGTAGACACTTGCAATATTCTAAACTCCTTGAGTGTCTATTTGCAGAGATTTTCTTTTCCTGGACTTCATTAAATAAATTACGTTCTTTAGCCTACACACTGTTTCTTTGTGCTTACCCTGCTACCTTTGGAGAGACAATTACCAAAGAAACCAGGACAATTGTGTAGCTCAATGAGTGCTGAGCATAAATAACTCCCAGTTAATTATGTTATAAACCATCATTATAGATTGGAAATTTGGTGAAGGGAGAAGAGGAAGCAAAGTCCATGTTGGATGTCTAATTTTTCCTACTCTTTCTTTGTTCACAGTTTTTTTGTTTGTCTGTTTTTCCTAAAACATAAACATCAACAAATACAGATACTTTTAATAAAACACCTTAATATACTCTTACTTTTTAACATTATCATAAATCTATGTACTCAGGATCTTTTCCAACCTAAATAGTATCAGGAAATTCAGAAGCAAAAGATGTTGTAACACTTTTTAGCATGTAAAATGTTTTTTTCTTCATAAAGGGGATAAATATTTATCAATATTATATAAGTATAAAGCCGACATGTATGTATATTTCCAGCCAGAAAAACAGACAAATAGACTTGTTTCTGCAGATTTGTCTGCAGGTGATTCATTTATTATTATTCCATATGTAAATGCATACAATATTATTTTCCACTTTAATCTAAAGTGTTAAGTCCGGTGAGTATTACACAGTTGGCATTGGTTAAACATAACTAATGATAAAAACTCCAAATTGAAATTGTGTTCAATAATCTTATAGCAAGAAAAGGTGACTTTGTATATATACAAAAGTAGATAGTTTCACGTGCTCTATTTATCATAGAATAACATTCCCATCACCTTCCAAAATTTGAGGAGCTAGAGTTGTACCACTTTAGGAGACTTTAGAGAAATTGGAAATGATGCTTGTAGAATCCTATTTGGTGATTTAAATCAGCTATGTAAATCTATTTTATCTGGGGAACTTATGTCCTTAAATAGAAGAGAATACAATCATATATCTAAAATATAAATATAGGAATAAAATAGCATAAATAATATGTACCTAGTAAGAACTTAACGTGAATGAAGTGTTTTCAACACGTGAAGCACAAGAGCTCCCACGGAACTGTTGGCATTCCATACTGCTTCTTCATGCTCTCTGTTCAAGTTGGAGTCAACTAGTAATTTACTTGATTCTCTCTTTTTAAACTACTCTATTACTTGATGTCTAGAAAAATGTGAAAAACAGGAGCATAGCTTGGTTTAACCCTCACTTTTTATGACTTTTCTGTCACCACCATCAATAACATGATTTTGTGTACGTTATGAAGTCCCTCCTTTAATCTGCCTTTTTTGCTTCTGACAACTTTTGTGACACATTGTGATGAAGCTGAAAGAGGCCTATAATCAGAACCTTGGTTCCAACACTAATATGACTTTGGCTGAGTTTATTTATACTTCACTCACAATTTCATATATAATATGAGAAACTGCAATAAATGTTCCAGTTTAAATATTCTAAGATGTACTCTTATCTCCCATAACACCATGGAAATATCTAGGGCATTTTAGAGAGCTACAATTAAAATTATTTTCTAAACCATAATCTATTTGCAGTGGGACAGGCTTACACACAAGGACTCATACTCCCTTCATTTTCTAGCCTTTTACAGGTAACAGCACAACTACTTCTTTGAGATTGAACATTCCAAAAGTTTCCTATTGGTATTTTATTTGTTTTTTTTAAAAAAGAATATATTAACATGACTTTGTGAGTCGCTCTCTTTTTTCATACATGAAGTGCAGTAATATATTCTAGCTATTGTCCCTGTATAATTAACCTTCCTTTTCACTTTCAAAAATGTCTTAGTTTGAACAATAAATGACATGGTCACTCAAAGCCTTAACCTAACGATTTCAAAAATTCTAAGAACTGTTGGAAGCTTTAAACACATCTTACTTTTCATGGAAAGTATTATCCAAATCTTACCTAGCTTCATCTTGACTATCTTCAATAAGAAAAACAAATTTCTAGGGATTACATAATATATGAGGAAAAAACAATTTACATAATGTAAGTTTTGTCTTAATGTGAGGAAAACTTCCTAGTAGCTAAAGTTTTGTAAAGGTGATAGATAACAACATCAACAGCAGCAGTGACAGTAACAACAACTAACAATTATTCCACGCCTGTGGCATTTTAAGTACTTTACCCTTATTATGTAATTTAATCCTCAAAATAGCTGTGAAATTGGCACTATTACTACATTTATTTTAGAGAGAAGGGAACTGAGCCTTGAAGAAGTGAAGAAGTTCTTTCAAAATTGCCTAATCAGCAAGGCTAGAACCTGGGGTTGAAGCCAGGCAATCTGTCTTTTGAATGAGGACGCAAGCCATGGAGAGGGAAAAAAAACTGCACACCGTCTCTGAGATAATTATTGATATTAATTAATTATAACGTTATTGCTAACTCGAGTTTGGGAGTTAAATCTTTGTAGGGAAGATGGAGCATGCATATTATGTTTTTTCTCACTCTTTCTGTATAGGACATTTCTAGCTTCTAAAATACCCTTTCTTTTACTAGCAACACAGTAAACTCATATGTTTAAATCAAGCCAGTATGTGTTAATTTATAACCACAAAAATAAAAACTTCTTTGAGAACCAGGCATCACAGTTAAGCCAGAAACAAACCATCAAAGATATTTTAAGAGGACAAAATAATTATGAGAACAAATTAGCACAACTTTTTATTTTTTTATTGTTTATTTATTTACTTTTGAGACAGGCTCTCACTTTGTCACTCAGGCTGGGGTGCAGCCTCGACTTCCTGGGCTCAAGCGATCCTCCCACCTTAGCCCCCCAAGTAGCTGGGACTACAGGTGAGCACCCGGCTACTTTTTTGTATTTTTTGTAGAGACTGGGTTTCACCATGTTGCCTATGCTGGTCTTGAACTCCTGAGCTCAAGTGATCTCCCCTACTCAGCCTCCCAAAGTTCTAGGATTACAGGCTTGAGCCGCCATGCCCAGCCTAGCACACCTTTTTAGATGAATTAATTCTATTGTCTATTTTCTCTTGCCACTAATTAGAATTGCAAAATCTTAATATGAACATATATTTCACAGTAATTTTATAATATTAGAGGGTTAAATAAAATTATTCCTTAAAACGTCAAGTGTCACATGGATATGATTGGAAAGAGGACACTAATAAAGTTTTATTTTGGGCAGATAATTTCTCATGTGAAATGCTGGGAAAACGTCCACTAGTTCCCTAGGATTCCTTTATGCCCAGGGTTTTGTTGACTAATCAGAATCATCAAAACTAATCAGTAAGTTCAATATCTAAAACCAAAGAAACAGGAGACCTAAAGCCCTTATAGCAAGTCTAGTAGATAAAGTCATTAACTAATGGCTTTGATTATCCATGGAACTCTTATTTTGGAAAATAATAGGAAATAAGTAATATGAACGATATAGTGTACATACTATATACTCTCTCTGTATTATACTGTATATAATATACAGTTATGCCACAATACTGTTTTGGTCAGTGATAATCCATATTACAATGGTGGTTCCATAAGATTACAATAATACACTTTTACTGTATCTTTTCTGTTTTGATACACAAATACCACTGTGTCACATTGCCTACATTATTTAGTATAGTCACATGCTGTACAGGTTTGTAGCCTAGGAACAATAGGCTATACCATCTAGGTTTGTGTGAGTACACTCTATGATGTTGACACAATGATGTAACTGCCTAGTGGCACATTTCTCAGAACTTATCCCCATCATTAAGTGATGGATACCTCTATATACATACATACATACATACATGCACGTATCTGTGCAAATAAACATTATGTAATTATTAATATGATTATTGTTATTAAGAGTACTTAATTTTGTTGAGCTCATAAAAATGAAGGAAAATTTAACCAGAGCATGTGTTAAAATTTGTACATTTATAGTCATGACTCTACAAACAGACTCATACATATCAGAAAGAAACATTTGTGGCTTGCACTGACAAATTTGTTTATTATTTTATTTTAAATACAAAACTTTAGTTTGATATAATCCCACTTGCCTACTTTTGCTTTCTTGTATGCTTTTGGTGTCATATTCATGAAATTATTGCCAATACCAATGTCATAACGATTTTCCCCTACATTTTCTTTCAGTAGTTTTATACTTCCAGGTTTTACAGTTAATTATTTAATCCATTTTGAATTGATTTTTGTGTATGGTGTTAAGAGTCTAATTTTACTGTTTTTCATGTGGCCATTCAGTTTTCCCAATGCTGTCTATTGAAGAGATGATCTTTTCCCCTTTGTATATTCCTGTCACTTTTATTGAAGATCAGTTGGCTATGTATGTGCTGATTTATTTCTAGGCTTTGAATTCTATTCATTGGTCTATATATCTATCTGCAAAGCAAAGGAAACAATCAGAGTGAAAAAACAACCTACCAAATGAGAGAAAATATTTGGAAACTATATATTTGGTGAGAGATTAAATCCAAAAATATAAAAGTAATCCCTACAACTGAGTAGCAGACTATTAATAATTTCATTAAAAATGAACTAAATACTTGAAGACATTTCTCCAAAGAAGGCATACAAATGGCCAACAGATATATAAACAAGATACTCAAAATCACTTACAGTCAGGAAAAGGCAAATCAAAGCCACAAAGAGATATCACTTTACACGTTAGGATGGCTGTTACCACAAAAAAAAAAAAAAAAAAAAAAGGCAGCAAGTTTTATGAGAACGTGGATAAATTGGAACCTTTGTGCCCTATTGGTGGGAATGCAAACTGGTACAAGCAACTGCTATGGAAAACAGAATAGAAATTTTTCAAAATATTAAAAATAGAGCTACCATAAGATTCAGCAATTTCAATTCTGGGTATTTATTTAAAACAATTGAAATCAGGATCTTGATGTGATATTATCACTTACATGTTCATTGCAACACTATTCACAATAGCAAAGAGGTAGAAACAAGTTTAATGCCCATAAATGAATGAATTAATAAAAAATGATATTTCCATACAATAATATTCCATTTGCATATAATAGAATGTTAGTCACCTGCTACAATATAGAAGAACTTTAAAGACGTTATGCTAAGATAAGTAAGCCAGTCACAAAATGGTATATAATTCTATTTATGCAAGTTATCTAATATTGTCAAACTCATAGAAAATGAAAGTAGCATGGTGGTTTTTAGCAGGGAGGTAGAAATGTGAAGCTGTTTTCAATGGGTTTAGAGTTTTACTTTCGCAAAGTGAAAATGTTACACAGATTTGTTGCACAAAAAATGTGAATATACTTATGACTACTGAACTACACACTTAGAATTAATTAAGATGGTATGGTATTTTTTCTAACATGATTAAAAATGAAAAAAAATTGAACTTTTAGCATTACACTTAGCAATAAATTACTTATGTCAAGATAAAATCATTGTCAACATTACATCAATAGTAAATCATTAGTTTTATCCACATTTATAGTGATATTAATATTTTAAAGTATATATATCCAATATTCATATGTGAAGTTTACCTTAATTTTTTAAAGGCAACATTTGATTTAAAAATACAAATTTCTATGTTGAATAAAGATCAAAAGGCAAGTGTCCCTTAAAAAATTTAGCACATACTACAAATAGTAGAAGTTTATTTAACAAGAAAACTTACCCTAGAAACACTTTTTATAGCAGCTAAAAACAATTCATACAGCTACTCATGTAATTCTAGTACATTTTTAAAAAATTGTCCTTCCATGTGACTCTGCTTTTTCAACAAGATGTTTTGTATTTTATTCATATTTCTAAATTATATGATCTGTTATCACATAATATATGGCATTCTGGTAGTTCACTTTTTAATAATATATTGTGAATAACAAGTTTTAAAATATATAAATCAATTGCAATAAATATTCCCTAAGTTCCAAAAAGACAAAAATCTTATTTGTTTATATATAGCTAACAATATTAACTGTAAACAATAGTGGAGAATTTTAAAGAAAAATTTAAAAACTAGAGTCTGGTGCAACATACTACTAACAGAAGCCCTAGAAGAAGAGAACAAAGGAATGTGGAGAAGATAATACTCAAAATGTGAGGAAGATAAAAATCAAAAACTAATTCATGAGAGTATCCTCCACTGAAGGGAATAGAAGTTTAGATTGAAGATATCCAGAACAAATTAGGAAAAATTACCACAGTGAATGTACTGCTGCATCTGAAATTGCAAATGTCTCAGATTTTATTCTACTTACATGTTAATATATCTACAAAACCTAGATCAGATATTGGACTTTAATACACATGTCAATAAAAGCACAAAGAGTAGCATCATAGTACCAGTTCACCACATCTCACTTCCTCAAAGAGAGCTTTAATGGACTGGGCTTGCTCTAGCGTGAAGATGAGTAGAGTCTGAGCTCCAGGAGAGAAATACCAAAATAATTCCTGGAGCTTACAAAGGAAGGATAGCACATCCTTCCCTGTGGAGAAAAAGGGGAGGGGTGGGATGGAAATAGAGAGAGAGAGCCACAGAGCAGGGAGCACAAAAGAGCACAAAAGAGCAAAGGTCTGGAATGCTTAAATAAATAAATCTAGAAAGAGGAGAAAGTATTTAGCTTTCTTTCATCTCTCTTGAATCTGAAGCAACAGCTCTTGAAGAGAAAGGACTTTAAATCATTCCAGAGAAATATATACTCTCTAATGTCCAATGCATGTTTCCCATTGAAGCATATCTTTAATTCTGCTTGTCGTAAACTTTGCTCACTAGCTCCTGATCATGACAAATGTAAAAATATTTTTGAAGCATGGTATCTCAAAACGTGTTTCATGAGCTCCCTGAAGAGTGAATATAAAATAAGGATGCTAATAAGAAGAAAAAATGACAAATATATTTTGAACAATAATTGTTGATATGGCATTGAATTTCTGAACAGCAACACCACAAGTTAGAAGTCAAAAGTACAATGTTTCAAAATTATAAAGAAAAATAATTTTCAATTGGAATTCTTTATTCAGTTCAAACCTCAAATAAAAATGAAGGTAAAATAAAAGCATTTTCAAGCTTACAAAAATGTGCCATCTATGCAAATCATTACCAGTACTTTTCTGGAAGCCACATTCTAGCAAAATGAAGGAGAAAAATGATCCAAAGAAGATCAGAAAGAAGAGCCAGCTGTGCTGCTGGCCCAGGGAACTAGAGTACAAATAGGGGCAGAAGAAGAGAGGGTGCCAAGAGGAATGACTGCAGGAAAGAAAATAAATTGGAATTGATATATCACCTGATGTGCTTCACTATGTGGGAAATTGCATTCTGATAGGAAATTTGGAAGAATTATAAATAGCAATATGAAACACCAGAGAAATAAAAACTTGAAGTAAATAGGGAAACAAGTGTGCAGAAAGAAAATGGTGTCATAGTACACTACTTGGCACAACACTGAAAAATATGTACATAGGCATAATTAAGTAAAAATGAAATATTTACATAATTAAATATTATGACATATCCACATTGGGAAGATAATGTGAGAAAATATTGAAGCATATTATTTATATAACCGTACAAAAGAGCTAACACTGTTAAAAGTCTTTCCCTCTGTGGAGTGGAAATGAAGAGTAGAAATTGACAACACAGAAGAATCCCCATAAATACTGTTTGATGTTTTAAATCATAGTATATTTGGTAAATAATAAAAATATAATTATTAAGATATGGTAAAAGAGAAAATATTGTGCTTTAAAATATGGGTATATTGTCAATTTTAAGGATTATACTGATCTATTTGTAACGATGTTTGTTTGATATCTTCCTTTGGATAAAATGTTATGTTTACACAGAAAGCTAAGAGCAGATGTCTGAGGAACCCCAGCATTTGTTGAATTCTTGTTTCAACACTCACTGACAACGTTGAGCAGTTCCATTAAATTATCGGAGTCCAAGTTCTCAATATAAAAATGAGGAAAATAATCAACTTATACCAATATTGTGATGATTAAAAGATATAATGCATGCTAAATGATTAGAAATGTTGTTACGTTTTAAATAAATATTAGTAAATTAGTAACAGTAGCAGAAGTCATGGTAGCGGTAATTTTTTTGCCAGCACCAAAATTATTTTATTTTTTTTTAGACAGTAGCACTAGCATCTGAAAATGATTTTAATGACAGAGCTAATCAATTGAAAATACTTTGGTAGAATTATACTGCCATTTTCTTATTTACTTGGGTGACTGAAGGTATGGTTTCTGTGACATTTGCTTTGTGATAATAATAATCACATATCAAAGTTTTTGTAGTTGTGTCTAAACTATTGTGGAAAAGATACAGAAACTATTTGTATTGATATATTTGGTATCTTTTTATGAGCAATACCAATTAATTTCTAAGTATAGTCATGAGCTGCTTCATATCATAATGTATAAAAAAATTGATACCTCTTTTTGAAGACTCTAGTTCATAGACATGTTTTTGTTTAAAAGTGGTGGAGACTTCAAGTCAGTTGTTGAGACAATTACATATCTAACCATTTTTAACTTGAGATTTTTCCCCCTCTCTCTATAATTCAACAGTATTCCATTCCCTCGACACTTCAGTAATGGTAGTCACAACCAAACTCCTACTTTAAGACTATTTTCTCAAAGGAACTTCTTTCAGTTATGCATTGTGGACAGAATAACTACATGGTTTTTTTTTTTTTTTCCGAAATTTTATCCTTGTGAAATCTATAACACATTCTAGTTGGCTACAAAACCATGAAGCCTAAACATGCATCACGATCATCAGATGATCTGCTGGTGCTGCTGCTGCCTGTGGAGAAGGTGCAGATATAGATTGATGTGTGAAGTGCAATGCTATGCAGTAAATCCTAGACAGTGGTGGAACACATCTTATTTTGTTGTTTTTCAGTGGATGTAGCAAGATTACATTGACAAAGTTCAGAGAATGCAGTTGGATTATTCAGATCAAAGATAGTTATATATTACTGCGAACATTGTAAGTGATACACTTAATGTATTTTGAAGCCCCTGTAATGATATACTACACTCTATGCTACAATAAATAATTAAGTTTTATGGCAAATCTGACATCAACTACTTTAATAATGTAGCTCTAATTTTTCATTATGAAGGACCAAAGATGTGGGAAATACAGCAGTTAATGTTTTTTCAAGTAATTTATCAGATTTAGTTTCGAGAGATTATGAAGAAAGAGCAGTGACTCACAGATAACTTTTTAAATTCGAATTCAACATTTGCTGTATTATGTAGTGTTCTGGTTTAAAGATAGGTGCACTGAATTTTCACAGTAAAATTTTATATTACTTCATCATTATTTCTAGTTTAACACTTAGGAAAGTGTATTCTATGGTTTCTTATAGACTTTCTATTTCTTCTACTTACCTTCTTTCCTGGGGTTAAGAAATATATCCTAGAATTTTTTAATCCATAAAAGTCTAGTTATTATATGTAATAGATGCTAAAGAAGTTCTCAGTAAAGAAAGAAAAGTGTAAATAGGAAAGAATACTTTAGAAAATTAGTGGCTTAACTCGTTTTAATATATTAGAGAGTTTGTAGGGTTGTAACCCCTAAAAAATAGCAATGTAAATATAACTTAACCCAGATTTTCGTCACAAAATATTTCATAATTTTATTTGGAATGTTTAATACCTCTGAAGAATTCTAAAGGTGAAAGAAGACCCCCATTTGGCCAAATCAATGTATACATTTTTTTTCAAACCTATTCTAAATCTCAGCAGTCGATAAAGATTCCTGATTACCATGTTGTTTATGAAATTTTTTTCTATCTTGGATTCTTTGGCACAATCTTTCTGATTTCTCCCGTAACTTCTTAGGTCCTCTTTGTCTATTGCTAATTCTTCCTTCTTTAAACAGTGAGTCGCATGAGCCTGTGTCATGAACCTTTTGATTTTTCTCTAGGTAAATTGTTTTTCTTTGTGATATCATCCTGGCCTTGCTCTAAACATTACTTTTATTGACAGGTTTTATCTTGCCTCTTAGATGAGAATAAATTGTTGATTTGGCATGTCCATTTCTAAATCCAACAGATGGCTCAATATGCTGAAAAGAGATTATTTGATTACCACTACCACCCCAATTTTTAACTTATCAATTCTTCCCAATCAAGAAATGTCATCACTCTACATCTAGTTGCTTAAGGCAAAAACTTACGAGTCATGGTGAATTTCTTCCTTTTTTCCTGTCTCATACTACACCTATTAGTAAATTTCCTAGGTTCCGTCTGAAATGCCAATTTCAAATCCATGTGCTTCTCTGTATCCACTACCACTGATTCCAAACCAAGATTATTTCACCCAGACCTAGGAAAGAGCCTTCTAATCATCAGCGTCAATTCTTTTTTTTTTTTTTTTTTTTTGAGACGAAGGTAGCCCAGGCTGGAGTGCAGTGGCGCGATCTCAACTCACTGCAAGCTCCGCCTCCCAGGTTCACGCCATTCTCCTGCCTCAGCCTCCTGAGTAGCTGGGACTACAGGCGCCCGCCACCACGCCTGGCTAATTTTTTTTTGTATTTTTAGTAGAGACGGGATTTCACCGTGTTAGCCAGCATGGTCTCAATCTCCTGACCTCGTGATCCGTCCGCCTCGGCCTCCCAAAGTGCTGGGATTATAGGTGTGAGCCACCGTGCCCGGCCCCAGCATCAATTCTTGCTCCACTCTTCAATCTCTTTTCTATAAAGAAGCCAGAGGATTATTTTTCAAGCATAAATCAGATAATATCTCTCTAGCTTATAACTTCTTCAGAGGTACATGGAGTACTAAGAATATAGTCCAAATTCGTTATCCGAGGTCTCTGTATTATCTAGCTTCAGCTTCCCTGCCCAACATTATGTTAGCCTCTTCATCAAGACTGAGACACACTGGCTTCCTGAGTTTTTTTTTGAGAGTTTCGTGGATTCCTTTATTGAAACGTTCTTCACCTGGATCTTTGAATAGCTGGCTCTTTCATTTCATTCAGGTCTTAGCTCAAATGTCACCTCCCAGATAGGATTGCCAGATAAAATACAAAATGTCCAATTAGATGTGAACTTCAGATCAACAAGTTTTTGTTACTGTAAAGATGGCGAAGGTTGCAAATACTGCGTAGGACAAAATATACAAATAGAAAATGTGTTGATTATCAGAAACTTGAAGTTAACTGGTGCCCTGTATTTTTATTTGCTCGATCTGACAAGCTTATGCCTAGAAGCCCTCTCTGGCCTCCTGTATCTCTCACCCTGTGTGTTACTTTTATTGTGTTATATTTTATGATCACTTTATTTATGTATTTATTTCATGCAGGTACAGGGCCTCAGAGGATAGTGAATTTTTCTGCTATTCTCAGCACAATAGTTATTCTTGGCACATAATAGACACTCAATACATATCTCACTAATGAATTTACTAAATCAATGTGTTATTTGAAAAGTGTGGCTGAGTGGACAGAGTCTAGAGACCTGAGTTCACACCTGGCATCTTATACTTGCCAGCTAATGACCTAATCCAAATTACATAATTTTTCTAAAGAACAGGTGTTTTTTTATCTCTAGATTGGGGGAGAAAAAGAACCAGTCTTTCCTGCTTTAAAGAGTCGTTGACTATGTTTATAAAATATTTTTATATTTTTTAAAGTGCTACAAAGAAAAATCATATTATTAAAACAATTAATAGCTGTATAGTAGTAATTATAAAATGCCTAGTTTACCTACTAATATCTAATAAGTGAACAGATAAATTGTATGTTATTGTAATTCAAGATTAAAGACATAGCTTTACTATGTGAAAAAAAACTGTAAAATATTGTTTAAAGAAAATATGAACTCCTGAGTTTTTCATTTACTTTAACATCTCTGCTCTCATCTTGTATACAATCAACCCAAAGTCATCTGAAACTGAATTGAATGTAGTAGTTTTTTTTTTTTCCGCCTTTTCATTAGTCCTTGAGGGAACAAGTATCGTACTAAAATTTTAGTTCGATAAGTAGAAGAACTAACTGCTGTCAATGTTTGAGCATAACAGAGCTGCAGTGAATAGGAAAGGTGCTATTGTAAAACCCAGTGACACCTAGAGGAGCTAGGCCTATAGAAAAGATGTAGAGTCACATATTCCCATATTCTCTGGGCTGTTTTCCAACTAAAGTTGTGGAATGAGACAGCTGCGCCCTTTAATCTGCTCCCTATTGCCTCTTCACATGGTTAGTTCCAAATGAGATATTTTGCCTGGTGCTTGTATTGTCACTTCATAAATTCATGTCCAGTTTTGTGGAAGCACAATGTGTTTGTTTAGTATTTATTGATCTCTCGCAATATGTTTAGGAGAGATACAGAAAATACAACATGGTCCTCAATTTCTAAGAATTTATATTTTAAAGTTCTGCACGTCTGCTACAAATATATATTATATACACAAACTCTACTGTCTTTGTCAGTGACTATTTTTAAACCACATTTGTCTGATATGACAAATTCAATGTAAGTACTTCAGAGAAATGGGCAATCAATAGTTTTAATGAAATGAATCTCTTCAGCCAATGTAGTTAGGTTTTCTGGTGGCTTGCTGCCAGAATTTTCTTGATGGAATTGTTATTGGACAACATATATTTGGTAAACATTCTATTGAAAAGAAATAAATCAAGCCTGCTCCTTTCAATGTTTTAGATGCTAGAGAATTTTCTTCTTAAGGAATTTACTCCCAATGTACAGCCTTTACAAAGCAAACAGAAGCAGTTTCTTAATTAATGTTATTAACAAATTGAAATGTTAATGAATGAGAAAAGATTAAACCACAATGACAAAAAAAAGGCAAATGTCCATGTCTCAGCAAAGTGGCTAGAACTCTAAGCCACTAATTTATCCTTTACTCTCTGTGATAAGTAAGATCATCATCTTTCTTACAGAAATTATAACTGAAGTTTCTAAAAATTGAGTAAATTATCCAAATTCTCACATTAAACAAGTAAGAGAGCTATAAATTAAGTCTTGGTAACTCCAAACTGAAATTATTCAGGAATACTCTCCTAAAGACAGGAGAAAATGATCTGCTGACATTGTGAATTGAAAGCTAGATTTCAATGAGTAATATCCTACTGTAGTTCAAGTAAGTGATCAGTTGTGGAAAAATGATCATTCAGTTGTGTTCAGACATTTGCCAAAATTCCTTCACTGAAAGAAGCAGATCAATTAGGACGAGAATAGAGAACAATATTTCAACAAAACCAGTGACTTAATATGCCCAAATACTTCAGAATACAAGTGAGTTTCCAAACTGTTTATATCAAGGAGATCCATAAGACCCACAGTGGTGCAGGTGATTGTGAAAAGAAGATAAAGAAAAATACTGCAATCAAGCAGTGGGGGAAATAACATCAAATATTGGTCATTGGTTGACGGTCATACTCCAGCCACGGAAGTGTCTATCTTCCAGCAGGTGATTGCATTGAACTTTCAGCAAACCATCCCCTTAGTCTGTCAAGACACATGCTTCTGGATAACAGGACATGTGGTGGGATGAGTGATTTACATCGACTTGATCAGATTGCTGTTCTTATCTTGCTGTAAAATGTTATTTAGTCAGAAGTAATGCTGTGTGGAGCATCAAGTTTATAAATAAGGCATTTTTATAAGTCTGTAGGTGGTGATTCTGGAGGAACAATTGAGACCCACAAAGAAAAATGTATCTAGAATAAATATCTAATCCCATATGAAAAATAAAACAAAGCCAAAAAAACCCCACCGCCTTGAAAAGGATGAAGGAGGTCTAAAGAAATCAATTTTCCATACAAACTAAAAGCTAAAAGTAAGTTGAAATCAATGAATATAACTTTTAAATCAAATTACTACTATAATAACACAAAAAAGTATTTCAAACAACTTTATATATTCTTCTGGAGATTCTTAAACTAGAACAATAACCAAAACAATTTTAAATTCCATCAATAGTTTTAGTTTTATTAAGGACAATGTGGCTATTATTTTGGAAATATTATTGGATATAGATATATGATAAAGCAAATAAAAATAATATAAAAGTCATTAAGAGAATATTTTGTGTGCAATCCAATAAAATACAAATATGAGACATAAGAAAATAGACTTCAATTTAAAAAATATAAACATATGATTTTTTCAAATTTTCTAAATAGTAATTATTTCCTAGCTCTGCCTTCTGAAAAGTCCTAGAATTACAACAAGCTGGAAACAATGAACAAATGGAGCCTTCAGACTGTAATCTCTAAATATGATTTTCCTTTTAGTGAAAAGATTTCTTTGGAGAAATAGTTGATTATAGATCTAGGTCAAGACATTTATGAGATGACCCTGGGACATTTTATTTTTGTCAGAAAGCCTGGAAAGTATTAATGTGTCTACACAAAACAAAGGAACCAACTTAAAAGAGCAGTCACTGACCACAGCAGAGATAATTGAAGCATCAAACTGAATAAAAAATATAACTCATTCAAGCAGATGCAATTAGTTATCCTGAAAATGATAAATGCATGAATGTAATCAAACATTAATACTTGGTTTCCTGTGCAATTCCTTTTCAGGGTAATGAAAACTGATGAGTGAGAGTTAAATGAAGGACTCCAGAAAGAATGACAGTTACAATATAATGATTTGTGCCCCCCAAATAAAATAATTGATCTACACAAAATACATCAGTATTAGGCAAAACTAGATGGTAAAAAAATTTCGAAGAAAAATAGATTAAGGAGAACAAATCAGAACTCACTGATCAAACTTGATATGACTAATTTATAGTTATTTGAGAAATCCACATGCTGTTTTCCATAGAGGTTGACTATTTTACATTCCAACTAATAATGTATAAGGCATTCTCTTTTCTCCACATCCTCACCAACATGTTATTTTTTGTCTGTTTAATAATAGCCATTCTAACTGATGTATGATTATATCTTATTTTGGTTTTAATTTGCATTTTTCTGATTAGTAATGTTGAGCATTTTTAATATGCCTCTGGGCTATTTATATTTCTTCTTTTAAAAATGTCTATTCATGTTCTTTGCCGACTTTCTAATGGATGATGGAATGCTAAAGGCCCAGACTTAACCACTATGCAATATAGCCATGTAACAAAAGTGTACTTGTACCTCTTAAATTTATGCAAATAAAAACTCAAAAAAAAAAAAACAAAAAAACCTAAGATGACTAAATGTCAGAAAACCAGGTTTTACATGCCACTTCATTTGCTGAAATACAACGTACACAGCCTGTTAAAATGAAGTCGTCTGCCCCCCAAAATATATAATATTAATAAGGTCTCTACCTAGAATCACCAGTTTACAATAAATGCAGAGGATAGATGCACATGTTAGAAAACACCATAAAGGTGAAATCACCCAAAGTCTACTCGACAAATTATCCAACTTCTTCAACCATTAAATAGCATAAAAGTTAGGGGAGGGGAATCTGTTACAGAACAAAGGAGATAATAATATATCATGCAAACACAAACCCATCTATATCTTGATTCAAATATAAATTGCAAAAAACGGCTTGAAATTACTATAGAAATTTCAACAGAAACAAGGTCTTAGATAAACAGTCCCCAACTTTTTTGGTACCAGGGACCAGTTTTGTGGGAGACAATTTGTCCACAGACAAAGGGTGGAGAGGTGGGGATGGCTTCAGGATGAAACTGTTCCACCTTAAATCATCAGGCATTAGTTAGATTCTCAGAAGGAGTACACAACACAAATCCCTCACATGTGCAGTTCACAATAGAGTTCATGCTCCTACGAGAATCTAATGCTGCTGCCCATCTGACAGGAGGTAGAGCTCAGGCGGTAATGCTTGCTTGCCTGCCACTCACCTCTTGCTGTGTGGCTCCGTTCATAACAGGCCACAGACTGGAACCCATCTGCAGCCCCAGGGTTGGGGACCCCTGTCCTAGATAACATTTAGTAAATACAGTTAATTCTTTTCAGTGCAATAACTTTGTTGAGATTGTTTTTTAACTGGCTAGCCATATACAGAAAACAGAAACTGGACCCCTTCCTTACACCCTATACAAAAATTAACTAATAAAAAAACACTGACATGTAAGACCTAAAACCATAAAAACCCTAGAAGAAAACCTGGGCCATACCATTCAGGACATAGGAAAGGACAAAGGCTTCATGACAAAAACACCAAAAGCAAAGGCAACAAAAGCCAACATTGACAAATGAAATCTAATTAAACTAAAGAGATTCTGCACAGCAAAAGAAACTATCATCAGAGTGAACAGGCAACCTACAGAATGGGAGATAATTTTTGCCATATATTCTTCTGACAAAGGGCTAATCTTTGTCAGAATCTACAAGGAACTTAAAAAAATTTACAAGAAAAAAGCAACCCCATCAATAAGTGGGCAAAGGATGTGAACAGACACTTCTCAAAAGAAGACATTTATGCAGCCAACAAACAAATGAAAAAAAGCTCATCATCACAGGTCATTAGAAAAATGCAAATCAAAACTACAATGAGATACCATCTCACACCAGTTAGAACGGTGATCATTAAAAACTCAGGAAACAACAGATGCTGGAGAGGACGTGGAGAAATAGGAACGCTTTTACACTGCTGGTGGGAGTGTACATTAGTACAACCATTTTGGAAGACAGTGTGGCAATTCCTCAAGCATCTAGAAACAGAAATACAATTTGACCCAGCCATCCCATTACTGGGTATATACCCAAAGGATTATAAACCATTCTACTATAAAGGCACATGCACACGTATGTTTATTGTGGCACTGTTCACAATAGCAAAGACTTGGAGCCAACCCAAATGCCCATCAATGATAGACTGGATAAATTAAATGTGGCACATATACACCATGGAATACTATGCAGCAATAAAAATGGATGAGTTCATGTCCTTTGCCAGGAAATGGATGAAGCTGGAGACCATCATTCTCAGCAAACTAGCACCAAAATAGAACACCAAACACCACATGTTCTCACCCATAAGGGGGAGTTGAACAACGCGAACACATGGACATAGGGAGAGGAACATCATACACTGGAGCCTGTTGTGGGGTGGGGGGCTAGGAGAGGGATAGCATTAGGAGAAATACCTAATGTAGATGAGAGGTTGATGGGTGCAGCAAACCACCATGGCACATGTACACCTATGTAACAAACCTACACTTTCTCCACATGTACACCTATGTAACAAACCTACACTTTCTCCACATGTACCCCAGAACTTAAAATATAATTGTATATATATAATTTTTAAAAGTCTGTTTTTGTTGGAGATGAATGGTAAAAAAATACAGGCACAAAAATTATATCTGGTGTTTTAGGGCAAAAACACCTAAAATTAAGTTGTAATAACTAAAAACATAATATTTGTCATAGTGATAACTATGAAATCTGAGTGATATAACTATTCTATGATTTAGGAATTTATAAAATATACAAAACATATGGAAAATTTATAAAATATAAGATTAAAAATATAAAATATGAAACTTCTTTCTATGGTAAGAGTTTTTCTACAGCTACATCTTGATAGTGCTATTTAGTTTAATACAGAAATCCCAAATTGCAGGATTATGTAGAGTTCGATCAAGAAAGTAAATATTTAGGAAAAGCTATGGAGGATTCCAGCAGAAATAAGAGTTTATAAAAATAAAATTGTTAATGTTAAAGAAACAGTGATACAATATTTTTGTGTATATATATATGTATATATATTTGATTATTTAGTCTGAAATGAATGCTGGTCATACTGTTTGTAAATATAAAGTATTCATGATGAATCTTGTGTATTAGTCTTCACTGTGGCAGACATAACTCTGATGTAACTTTTACTTATAAAATTCCAGTTGCTTCTTATTAACTTTGCCCAAATCTTGCCCTTCTTTAGGCTTAAGTCTTATCATCTTCATGAATTATTTCCTGACCAGTACAATTATCAATAGTCTCCATTTTCTTTTACCTCTATATACTATTAATTAAATTCCTATTTACCATATAATTACATATTGCCTTGTGCTATTTTTATAGCCTGCATATTATACTTTTCTACTGTAGAAACCATAACTTTAGTGTTTAATATTATATTGCTTGATTTGTGTCTCAATGGTGTGTAGATTAGTTTTTTCTACTAGTAAGAATACCTTTATTTAAATCCATCTTCTTTATTATCTATCCTGTATTAGATTTTCAATAAATATTTATCCCAAGTGTAATATTTAACAACTTGGAAAGAAGAAAATGAAAATAACTGAAGGTCGGTATGCCAAGCATTATGCAAGATTCTTTATATATAATAAGAATTATATTGTTTTCCTAGGTTTAGAGAAGAGAAAACCAATACTCAGAAAATCTACATAAATTTCTGATTGTTGTCTTGCTAATAGATGGAGAAGCTGAAATCTGAACCAACACTTGAGTGACTGAAAACATATCCACCATTCACCAGCAAATTTAGATTTTTGAAAACATTGTCCCTCCAAAAATCAGCTGTTGCCATATATTCATGTTTTTACATTAAAGGCAATAAACTTTTGTTGCAGGAAGTCAGGGACCCCGAATGGAGGGACCTGCTGAAGCCATGGCAGAAGAACATAAATTGTGAAGTTTTCATGGACATTTGTTAGTTCCCCAATTAATATTTTTATAATTTCTTACACTAGTCTTTACTGCAATTTCTGAACATAAATTGTGAAGATTTCATGGACATTTATCACTTCCCCAATCAATACTCTTATAATTTCCTATGCCTGTCTTTACTTAAATCTCTTAATCCCATCATCTTTGTAAACTGAGGATGTATGTCACCTCAGGACCCTATGATGATTGCATTATCTGTACAAATTCTTTGTAAAACATGTGTGTTTGAACAATATGAAATCTGGGCACCCTGAAAAAGAACAGGATAACAGTGATGTTCACGGAACAAGGGAGATAACCATAAGGTCTGACTGCCTGCAGGGCCAGGCAGAACAGAGTCATATTTCTCTTCTTGCAGAAAGCGAATAGGAGAAATATCACTGAATTCTTTTCTCAGCAAGGAATAATCCTGGGAAAGGAATGCATTCCCAGGGGGAGGTCTCTAAAATGGCCGCTCTGGGAATGTCTGTCTTATGAGTTGAAGATAGGGATGAAATACACCCTGGTCTCCTGCAGCACCCTCAGGCTTGCTAGGATTAGGAAATTCCAGCCTGGCAAATTCTAGTCAAACCAGTTGTCTGCTCTCAAACCCTGTTTCCTGTTAAGATGTTTATCAAGACAATGTATACCCAGTGGGACATGGAACCTCATCAGTAATTCTAATTTCTCCCTTGCCTTGTGATCTTGCTCCGCCCCCTTGCCTTGTGATCTTTTATTGCCCTATGAAACATGTGATCTCTGTGACCCACTCCCTATTCATACACTCCCTCCCCTTCTAAAATTCATAATAAAATCTTGCTGGTTTTGTGGCTCAGGTGGGCATCACGGAACCTGCAGACATGTGATGTCACCCCTGGAGGCCCAGCTGTAAAATTTCTCTCTTTGTACTCTTTCTCTTTATTTCTCAGACTGGCCGACACTTAGGGAAAATAAAAAAGAACCTATGTTGATATATTGGGGGCTGGTTCCCCTGATAAACTTTGCTTGACTTTAAGAGACTTTTGCAGCAGTTCAGGGCATCTGGTTGCTGGAAAACATTAGAGACCAAAAGATGATCGTTATTGTGGGCCCTCACTCGTCTGACCCACATGGAAATTATTTATTTACTTTTTTTTTAAACACATCTCCCACATGTATTGATTTGCAGAGCATGTATTGCATTGAGTTGTATTTATTCCTTTATTTGTATTTATTTATTTATTGTCTTTGTATATGTGGAAGTAAAAAGCAACACAAAAATGGGGAGAAAATAAGAATGGAAACACTTCCATGGTATGAAATTAATTTTTTTCCAATTTAAGAAAAAGATGTTTTGTTGTTTTTACAGAACATTCATTTTCTTTAAGAATTTCATTTCTTTTTTAGTCTTTTTCTCTCAAAAACCTAGTTGCCACCTTATACATGTACATTTCCCTAGCTCTGTGTCTGGATCCGTAACACATCACAGGGATACATGGATATAGGCTCTTTTAATTTTTAATTAAAAATTGTAGTTGCAATTGTGCCCTAAGAGATTAACACTCTCATGCTGAGACCCTGAACCGTGTGAATATCACCAGCATCTTCTTGTTGGTTAATGCATCCACTATGTTGTCTGTAATATTATCACTCATTTCAAAGTGTCTCTGTAAAAAAACCACCCCTGGTCTCCTTACCAGCAGGAAAAATAAATAATGTACAGCTTGAAAAATAAATTTGCTTTGCGAAAAAGACACTCAGAAACACCTAGATTTTCCCCTGGGATTGTCCAGTAATCTAAATATGGAACTCTGCTCATGCCATCCAACAAATGTGTTCAAACCTTCTCTGTTTCTATCCTGCCAAACCCATTCTCCCTTTGACTTACAGACATGCCATCCTGCTCCAGTACTTTCCCTTTACTCAGTTCAGTGGAGAAATGCTGTTATTGCTCATGCTGTTATCCTTTGCCTTCTTCTGTTCCCAGAATTCCTGGCTCCACATAGTGCCAGATTATTGCCACTAAATGCAGGATGTGATAACACACCCAGAGGAATGACAGGTTATAAATGGAAAAAAAAAGAGAGAGGCAAAGCTCCTTCAATCATAGCTTTTTATTTTTTACTGCAAGGCTTCAGAAGCATTGTTATAGCTTTTCTCCCATGTTTCATTCACTGTTTCCTATAGCTTCTCTATTATGTTTGTTGTCCTTCATCTCAATCCTTGTTGATATTTTGTGCCTACAATTATTAGACCATGCAAGTTTCCTTCATCTTTTGCAAAGCTTCAAACCAAAACCTAGAGTCAAAGAAACTCATTGTGCCATTTAAAATTAGCCTCCAAAAACTTCATATTACCCAGGTACTCTCAGACAGCCATGGAAGAATAGAATATAACCAATACAGAGCTTGGATTGTTATCAGTGTAACAACGACTTGAAAACTCTGACAAATTGAGTGGTTTATAATGAACTACCTTTTCTTAAGCATCAAAATTCATAGAGCCACCCTTTGTTTATGTTGAAAATTGAATCTCTGAGTTTCTGAGATGATATGGTTTCAATTTCAGTGTTTAATAGCCTTGTAATTGTTTAAGTCTGTTTACATAAAACAATCTCCATGTACTACCTTATCAGACCCACTATTCTAGATACTCAGGGCCATTATTTTTTTTTCATCCCTATCACTTCAAGGCCTGACTCATTGGTTTCTACTTGAAGCAGGTGCAATGAGTTAGCTCTTTCATATTATCCACAACACTTAGAAAATTCCTCAACATACTTGAGTTTAATAAATTTAATTAAATGAATAATACCTGAGCTTTAATGTCCATCTGTTGATAATAGAAAATTAATTTTAGTGTATTTGCAATTCATTATGTAGTAAGAAATTATACATTAAGTCTGAAAAATGAGGGTTATTAGGCAAATTAGCACTTTTTGGACCCGCCCTGTATCATGTGGTTTTGATACTGAATTTGTATTCCATGTCTGTTTTCTGTACTTTGATGATGACACTGGTCAACTGAAGACATTTGTTCTCAGTGATAACAGATTCTGTTCCAGCCAATTAATTTATTTTGACCTCTATATTTTTGTTTGTCTTATGAAATTTTAGGGTCTTGAGAACAGGTAACAACTAACAGGTCTAATTTATATCTGTATTTCCTTTATCAGCTAGCATTGACACATTTGATTATTAAAATAAAAAATCAGATGATGAATTTCCTGCTAATCTAAAAAAACCTTTACTATATTTGCATGTTTAATACATGCAAATGTATTATAGTACATTTACATGTATTATATATACATGTATTATATGTACTATAGAATTATAGTAAAAATTTCTAACATACTTAGTTGATGATATCTATACAATTTATGTCTAAAATACTCATGCTTCAAGTAATCGGCTGATACGCTAGCTTACTGCTCTACCATAAGACTCAAGTTATACACTAAAGGAATCGCCTTTAACGTTTATAACCCTGTAAGAACTCTTCCAACATTACTTAAAATGTTTAGAGTTTGCTCTTCTGCTGGTATTTCATCTTTGCACTATAACTGTTGCTTTTTGTATCATTAATTGTTAAAATTTCCAAATGGAGAAACAAGAGAATTTTTCTATACATTTAGAGCACAGAATTTCAAATTTTGATTCCAAAGTTAATGAATGATCGCTATAAAGATGTATATAACTGTGTAACATGCTATTCTCTGTGTTTTACCCACACTGGCATCATACAATCTGATACTTCTTCTTAGATATATAAAATGAGGTGATCAAGATTCACTCCATAAACTCTCTTTATAAAAACAATCATTTTAATAAGTAATATCTTAAACAAAGATTACAATTCATAGTGTTAACATTTCAAAAGTACAAATGCAGTAAATCTATAACATTGATCAGTTTGGAAATAATTCAGGCACAGGAGCAAAATTTTCCACATGGATTAAAAACAAACTTAAAATATATTTTAAATAGAGTCTCTTAATTAGATAATAATGTTATGTCTATAATAAACTTCCTGGGTCTTGTTATAAAATAGATGTAACTAAAGTACTAAAGTATTTAGGAGTGAAGTATTAACATGTTTACAAACATTTTAAGTGCTTCAGCAAAAAAAAAAAAAAAAACACGAAAGGGAGAAATACAGCAAGATAAAAAATGTGTGAAAGTGTGAATGTGGGTGAAGGTAACACCTTATACTGTTTTATATTTTATTTTTTCAGCAATTTTGGAAATTTTTAAAGGAAAAGGCCAGGCAGAAAAGCTAAAATTAGGTAGTTTTTTTTTTTACCATTTTATATAATAATGTATAAACATGAGTGCCACCGTTATATTAATTATTTAATTATTTCCCACTTATTTGGAAACATCTACTGTTTGCACATGACTGAATTTGTAAATGAAATGTGCTATTAAAATTTCTAATATTCATTGTATTGGCATGATACAGGTTCACAAACACTAAGTGGCATGTTTACAACAAGTTCTAAGTATGAATGGCTTGTATTTAGTTAGTATTTCTTTCTGGTGCCTGAAGAGCTACTGTTAAAGAAATCACTCTTCACAATTCCTCACTGTTTTATGCAAGTCAGTCTAAATAAACTTGTGAGTGGATTTTTCTATTTAGTTATGTATTGCATTATATGCAGATGAATATTTGACATGTGGCCACATTATAAAGAAAGCATGCAAAACTAGGTAATACATAAATCAGATTTTCTTGAAGTATGACATTGGAATATGAAGGAGCAACTGAAATAATAAGCTGGTAATATTTTCTTATGCATAGAGAGTCTAGCACCTAATATTCCAGAAAGCATCCTCCAATCTTCCAAATAGCAACATGTGCTGGTGCTTTATGTGGCACTCTGTACGTGGTACACATTTTCAGAGAGAATCTGTGGCGTGTGCTCCTGAATCTCAATATTCACATTTGTAAATTAAATGCATTCAATCAAATGATCATTTAGAAAAAGGAAAAGAAAACTTCTGTCTCTCATATTTGTAATCTTATGAAATTCGTATGGTAAGCACAGTAAGCATACCTACTGTTGGGTGGATATATTTATTAAAAATAATCTGAGCACATATTCCTTGAATGCCTACTCTATGCTTCACAGTTAGAACATTTTTCATATTTCCTCTTTATAACAGCTGGGTGAAGTCTATTTTACTCCACCCATTTTCCAGGTGAGAAAACTTAGACTCAAAGAAAAGGAATAGTTGGCAGAAAATTACACAGTATGTTAACGGTGGGCCTGAGATTGAAATCTATATATATTTGGTTGCAACTGAAATAAAAGCAAGCAATCTCTATAGTTTATATAAAAACTTTTTTTCTCTCTGTGTCCCAGTGCAACCACTGTGTTTATTTCACAATTAGAAATTCATTCTTCTCTATCTAGTTCTGGAAGCATTTAATGTGTTCACTTAGAAATTACATCACTAGTTTAACTTCCTTTCCAGCCCATAGCAGGTAATACAATTTTGGGCTAACAGCAACCATTAAATAAACAATTGATTAAAGGAATTGTTTCCATTGGTATTTTAATACAAGAGGCAGTGGCACTCCTGATTTTATTTTAATGTAATCCTTTTAGGCAATTTTAGATGTAATATCCCATCTTTTTGTACAGTTCATATATTTAAGTTTGTAAATATCAAATCGTCAGCCAATTGCCAATCAACAAGTATACACTGAACAACCTCAGGATACATTATCAGAGTCTTCAAAAGTAATTTCCATAAAAATGTAAGTTTCTCAAAAATAGATGTAAATGTACTTACTGGTCTAAACCCACCTTTCCCAACAGATCAGCATTTTTCTTATGTACTTATGGAGATGTTTATTTGAAATAACTGCATCACTTCTAAATCACTTTACCCCCATTCTCTGCATGTCCTTGAGATTCCTTTATCATCCACATCATTGTGCTTCATGTTCAGCCCTATTAGTTTTTAGCTTAATCCTGTGCAGTTTAGCTCACTGATAAAAGCCTTATTGTAGTGTTTTTAATACCTACAGCGTCTCTGTGATTTTGCACAAATTAATTGTTCTTTTGTAGCTATTTCAGCTTTTTAGTACTTTGAAGCTGTTACTGAGGAGGCAGACAAGGGGCAACTGTGGTTTACAGCACGACAGCTTAATTTACATAGGCAATGTGAAATGGAATGATGAGGAAATTAAATCGAGAAAATTTTAAAAAATGCACGATTGTAAACCATTTGTATTTGACCTGAATGATCCAGCTTGAAGAACTACCTAAATGGAACTCCCAGATGATTGCTTTGGCCTTCGTTTGAGTTTATTTGAATAATAGACTAAAAGGGTAAAAGCTCATATTTCTTTAAAAAGCTAAAACCAACAAGATTTGTGATCATAAGCAACATTCAATTTGAAGTAAGGGATAGGGAGATAATTTATAGTATTTGAACATTTTTCAAAAAGTGATAAAAGGCATATCAGAGCCTAGGTGTTAATCCCCATACAAGGGGAAATTGAGAGGGGCATCTTTCCAAATTACCTCTTTGATTCAGGGGCCTTGAATAACTCCTCCCTCTCTCACTCCCTCTTTGTGTGTCTCTGAAGTAGTCCTGTTCAGATCTCATCAATTGTGCTTTTATATGTCTTACGTTTTCATAGGGGTCATATAGTCAATCATGTGGAATGTTTTAATACACTTTTCATATCATTCAGAAATCCTGTAATGCATTTTTAAAATTAAACAACAAATCATTTAGATTACTGAACTTGATGTTAGGAATAAAACAGTGACCTGAAGAGGCACAACACCTGCCTTATAGGAGTTTATATGATACATGAATATAAACTTAAAATATGTGTACACAATTGCAAATTAAATATACAACATTTAAATATAAGTATTAACATTGAGGGATAGAGTTTAAAATTATGAAGGACTATGGCAGTGCAGTTTATGGAATTAAGAAGGTAGGGTAAGATTGAACTTAATGGCTGAGATTGTGTTTTCCTGTGTGCAAGTTGAAGGCAGACGAGAGTAAAGAGGTGACCAGGCTATGGTACGTTTCAACAATAATCATTTTCCATTTCTCTACTAAATCACTTTGAATGATTTTTCTGATATATGCCAGGGGAATCTTAATATCCCAGAAATGGCTGGGATCAATCACAGTTTAATCCATATTGAGAGTTATCATCATGAGGACTAACATCTGAAATGTGATTGTTCCTTAGGAGTTTTTGTTTCTATGGCTCTGGGACACTTGTGACATGCGTCAGTTATTTCTAGGTTAGGAAATAAGATGAAAAAAATAATGTTAGGAAAAGAGAAAGAAAAAAATAGGAAAAGAGAGAAGGAAAAGGAAAAGATGGAGAAGGAGCAAAGGAAAGAAAGAGGGATGAAAAGAAAGAAGGAAAGAGAGAGAGATGCATGAAGAGTGAGTGAGACACATGGAGACAATTTATAAGAGAGAGCACCAGTACTTGTGGTAAGGTTGACATGAAAATTCGGAGGTAGTGGAAGCTATATATTACCTGGTATTTAGGTTTTTCCAGTTTAATCTTAAATAATACTATTACAGTGTGCTTTCTTGATATCTCTGATTTTCCAGGGTACTTCATTGTAAAGAGGAGTTAACAGTAGAGCAGTCTCATTGGAATGATTATAAAATTAAAGAAACAAAAGCTGCCTAAACATCCATGACTATCAAAAGCATTAGTTTAATGGACATTTGTTTTTAGGAGAATATAACCCATTTGAAAATATTAATGGTTACCTACTAAATTTTTCTAGATCTGAACATGCTAAGTACTATGTCATTCGTGTATTTATTGAAAAATTAGTTTCAGTTATGATGTGATTCTGAAGATTTGTTCTTTTTAAACCATAAGATGTGTTTCATTAGTAGAATTCCTCTAACATCCTAATATGAAATTTCCACATTTGATGTTTTTACAACTTTTAAGAAGTTTTGGGCTCTCTGATATTCTGTATGTCATGGTGATTTTACTGATCCTTATATATTATCTCATTTCTATGAATTAATAACAAAGATCAAATTAATTTAAAAATACAGAGTTGGAAAACTTTTTCTGTAAATGGACAAAAGAGAGATGATTATCTCAACATGCAGAAAAGGCATTCAATAAAATTCAACGCCCTTTGATGCTAAAAACTCTCAATAAACTAGGTATTGAATAAACATATATCAAAATAATAAGAGTTATTTATGACAAATCCATAACCAATATCATACTGAATGGGCAAAAGCTGAAAGCATTCCCTTTGAAAACCAGCACAAGACAAGGATACCTCTCTCACCACTCCTATACAACATAGTATTAGAAGTTCTGGCCAGGCATATCAGGCAAGAGAAAGAAATAAAAAATATTCAAATAGGAAGAGAGGAAGTCAAATTGTCTCTGTTTGCAGATGACATGATTGTATATTTAGAAAACTGCATCATCTCAGCCCAAAAACTCATTAAGCTGATAAAAAACTTCAGCAAAGTATCAGGATACAAAATCTGTGTGGAAAAATCACAAGCATTGCTTTACACCAACAATAGACAAGCAGAGAGCCAAATCATGAGTGAACTCCTATTCACAATTGTTACAAAGAGAATAAAATATCTAAGAATACAGTTAACAAGGGATGTGAAGGACTTCTTCAAGAACAACAAACCACTGTTCAAGGAAATAAGGGAGGACACAAATGAAAAAAAAGTTTCTATGCTCATAGATAGGAAGAAACAATATTGTGAAAATAGTCATACTGTCCAAAGCAATTTATAGATTCAGTGCTATCCCCATCAAGCTACCGTTGACTTTCTTCACAGAATTAGAAAAAAACTACTTTAAATTTCACATAGAACCAAAAAAGAGCTCATATAGCTAAGACAATCCTAAGCCAAAAGAACAAAGCTGGAGGCATCACGCTACCTGAATTCAAATTACACTACAAGGCTACAGTAACCAAAACAGCATGGTACTGGTACCACAACAGATATATAGACAAATGGAACAGAACAGAGGCCTCAGAAATAATACCACACATCTACAACCATCTGATCTTTGACAAATCTGACAAAAACAAGCAATGGGAGAAGGATTCCCTATTTAATAAATGGTAGTGGGAGCAATGGCTAGCCATATGCAGAAAACTGAAACTGGACCCCTTCCTTACACCCTATATAAAAATTAACTCAAGATGGATTAAAGTCTTAAATGTAAGACCTAAAACCATAAAAACACTAGAAGAAAACATAGGCAATACCATTCAGGACATAGGCATGGGCGAAGACTTCCTGACTAAAACACCAAAAGCAATGGCAACAAAAGCCAAAATTGACAAATGGTATCTAATTAAACTAAAGAGCTTCTGCTCGGCAGAAGAAACTATCATCAGACTGAACAGGGAATCTACAGAATGGGAGAAGAAAACTGCAATCTGTTCATCTGACAAAGGCCTAATATCCAGAATCTACAAGGAACTTAAACAAATTTACAAGAAAAGAAAAAAAAAACATCAAAAAGTGGGCAAAGAATATTAATAGACACTTCCCCAAAGAAGACATTTATGTGGCCTACATACATATGAAAGAAAGCTTATCACCGGCCATTAGAGAAATGCAAATGAAAACTACAATGAGATACCATCTCATGCCAGTTAGAATGGCAATCATTAAAAATTCAGGAAACAACAGATGCTGGTGGGGCTGTGGAGAAATAGGAACGCTTTGACACTGTTGGTGGGAGTGGAAATTAGTTCAACTATTATGAAAGACAGTATGGCTATTTCTCAAGGATCTAGAACCAGAAATACCATTTGACCCAGCAATCCCATTACTGGGTATATACCCAAAGGATTATAAATCATTCCACTATAAAGACACATACACACGTATGTTTATTGCAGCACTATTCACAATAGCAAAGACTTGGAATCAATCTAAATGCTCATCGATGATAGCCTGGATAAAAAAAAAATGTGGCACATATACGCTGTGGAATGCTATGTAACCATAACAAAAATGAGTTTATGTCCTTTGCAGGGACATGGATGAAGCTGGAAACCATTATCCTCAGCAAACTAACACAGGAACAGAAACCAAACACCACATGTTCTCACTTATAAGTGGGAGTTGAACAATGAGAACACATGGACACAGGGAGGGGAACATAACACACCAGGACTTGTCGGGGGTTGGGGGACAAGGGAATGGAGAGCATTAGGACAAATGCCTAATGCATGCGGGGCTTAAAGCCTAAATGACGGGTTGATAGGTGCAGCAAACCACCATGGCACATGCATACTTATGTAACAAACCTGCAAGTTCAGCACATGTATCCCAGAAATCAAAGTAAAATTAAAAAAGAAATTATTCAAACTGAAACTCAAAGAGAACAAAAGAATAAAAATAAACAAAACAATCAAAACTAAGCATCAAAAAGCTGTGGAGCAATACCAAGAAGCCTTTCATAAATATGATAGGAATCCAAAAGGAGGAGAGAGAGAGAACAGGACAGAAGAAATGATTTTCCAAAATTAATGAGACACCAAGCCATAGATATTAGAAACCAAGAGAACATCAAGTAGAATAAAAGTCTGAATCTACATTTTAAAATAAAAAGAAAAGCAGAGTTTCTCAAAATTATCAAGACCATCTGGAATAAAGTGAATATTTAAATGAAATACTCTAAAAAAAAATGAGACTTTTTTTAACCTTAAAGAGTATCCAAAATGAAACTTCTGATTTCACCATAGTATTATTCTGTATTAATGGACTTTAACCCTTTTTAAAAATTTTGGTGGGAACATAGTGGGTGTATATATTTATGCAATATATGTAGTTTTGATACAGGCTTCCAATGTCAAATAAACACATCATGAACAATGGGGTAACCATCCCCTCAAGTATTTATCCTTTGAGTCACATACAATCCAATTACTCTCTTTAAGATTTTCTGCTTTTTTTTTTTGTACCTATTAGTCATCCCCACCTCACCCCTCGACTTCATCCAGCCTTCCACAACCCTTCCCAGATTCTAGTAACCATCCTTCTATTCTCTATGTACATTAGCTTAATTGTTTTTATTTTTAGATCCCATAAACAAGTGAGAACATGTGGTGTTCCATGATGTTTTGGTTACTGTATATACTGCATATAGTTGCTCATAGTAGCCACTAAATACCTTTTGACTTTCTGCAGTATCATTTGTAATGTGTCTTTTTTTTTCATTTCTGATTTTATTTATTTGAAACTTCTTTTTTTTTCTTATTTCTGGGTTCTCTGTTCTGTTCCATTGTTGTATGTTTCTGCTATTATGCCACCATCATGCCATTTTTGTTACTGTAGCTCTGTAGTATAATTTGAAGTCACATAATGCAGTTCCTCCAGTTTTGTTGTTGTCGTTGTTTTGTTTTGGCTTGGTTTGCTTAGGATACCTTTGGCTATTCTGAGTCATTTTTGGTTTCATATAAATTTTAGGATTGTAATTTATATTTCTGTGAAGAATGCCATTGGTATCTTGGCACTTATTGTTGAATCTGTAGATTGCTTTGGGTAGGATGTACAGTTTCATAATATTAATTATTTCAATCCACAAACAGAATATTTTCCCACTTTTTGGTGTCTTTTATTTCTTTCATCAGCATTTTATAGTTTTCATTACAAAAATATTTTACTTATTTGGTTAATTCCTAGGTAGTTAATTTTTGTGTGGCTATTTGTAAATGGAATAGCTTTTTTTTCACATTGTTCTCTATTGACATATAGAACTCCTACTAATTTTATATTTTTTTGTATGCTGCAACTTTACTGAATTTATCAGTTTTAATAGTTTTCTGTGAAGTCGTAATGTTTTTCCAAATTTAAAATCATATAATCTGTAAACAAGAATAATTTGACTTCTTCTTATCTTGTTTGGATGCCGTTTATATCTTTCTTTTGTCTGATTGCTCTTACTAGGATTTCAGTAATATATTGAATAACATCATGACGGCAGGCATCCTTGTCATATTCCAGATTTCAGAGGAAAAGCTTTTCTGCATTCAGTATAATACTAGCTATAGGTCTGTTGTATATGGCTTTTATTATGTTTAATTATGTTTTTTCTATCCCCATTTTTAACAGGGTTTTTATTATCAAAAGATGTTGAATTTTATCAATTGCTTTTTCATCATCAATTGAAATGACCATATGGTTTTTATCCTCCATTCTGTTGATATGATGAATCATATTGATTGATTTACATATGTTGAACCATCCTTGCATCCCAGGGATAAATCCCAATTGGTGGTGATGAATGATCTTTCTAATGTATTGTCGAATTAGACTTGCTAGTATTTTCTTGATGTTTTTTGCATCAGTATTCATCAGAGATATTGTCCTGTATATTTTTAAATATATCTTTGTCTGTTTTTGGTATCAGGGTAATACTGGCTTTGTAGAATGCGTTTGGAAGTATTTTCTTCTCTGTTTTCCAAAGAGTTTGAGTAGAATTGGTGTTAGTTCTTCTTTAAATGTTTGTTTGAATTCAGAGGTGAAGCCGTAAAGCCCCAGTCTTTTATTTACTGAGAGACTTATTATGGCTTAAAGAGTGTTACTTGTTACTGGTCTGTTCAGGTTCTGGGCTTCTTTGTGGTTCGATTTTTGCAGGTTGTATGTATCTAGGAATTTGTCAATTTCTTCTAGATTTTCCAGTTTATTGGCATAGGGTTGCTCATAGTAGCCACTAATGACCTTTTGCCTTGACTTTCTGCAGTATCAGTTGTAATGTCTCTTTTTATCATTTCTGATTTTATTTACTGGAAAAGTCTCTTTTTTTTTCTTAGTCTGGCTAATTATTTGCCAGCTTTGTTTAATTTTTCAAAAAAACAAATTTTGTTTCATTGTTTATAATGCTAATTTTATTTCAATTTTACTTATTACTGCTATTATTTATTTTCTTCTACAAATTTTGGAGTTGATTCAGTCTTGCTTTTCTAGTTCTTTAAGGTGCATCATTAGATTGTTAATTTGAAGGTTTTCCTCCTATTTTGACTTAGGCACTTATATCTGTAAACTTCCCTCTTAGTACTGCTTGGTTTGTATCCCTTAGGTTTTGATATGTTGTGTTTTTCTAATTCTTTGTTTCTTTTTTTTTATTATTATACTTTAAGTTTTAGGGTACATGTGCACAATGTGCAGGTTAGTGACATATGTATACATGTGCCATGTTGGTGTGCTGCACCCATTAACTCGTCATTTAACATTAGGTATATCTCCTAATGCTATTCCTCCCCGCTCCCCCCACCCCACAACAGGCCCCGGTGTGTGACATTCCCCTTCCTGTGTCCATGTGTTCTTATTGTTCAATTCCCATCTATGAGTGAGAACATGTGGTGTTTGGTTTTTTGTCCTTGTGATAGTTTGCTGAGAATGATGGTTTCCAGCTTCATCCATGTCCCTACAAAGGACGTGAATTCATCCTTTTTTATGGCTGCATAGTATTCCATGGTGTATATGTGTATTTGTTTCAAGAAATTTTTCAATTTCCTTCTGAATTTCTTTATTGACCCACAGATCATTCAGAAGCATACTGTTTAATTGTCATATATTTCTATAGTTTCCAAAATTCCTCTTGTTATTAATTTCTAGTTTTATTCCCTGAAGGCAAAGGAGATGCTTGATACTACTTTAGTTTTTTTGGAATGTTTTAAAACTTGTTTAGTGAACTAACATGTGGTCCATCTTGAGAATAATCCATGTGCTAAGGAAAAGACTGTGTATTCTGCAACTCTTTAATGAAACGTTCTGTAAATATCTATTAAATCCATTTGGTCTACAGTGCAGGTTAAGCCTGATGAATCCTAACTGATTTTCTGTCTGGAAGACCTGTCCAGTGCTGAAAGTGGGCTGTTGAAGTCTTCAGCAATTAATATATTGGGGTCTATCTCTCTTTAGCTCTACTAATATTTCCAAACATTTCCTTTTTGTACCTGGGTGCTCCTGTGTTGGTGTATATATATTTAAATTGTTGTATCCTCTTACTGAATTGACCCATGTATCATTATACAGTAACCTTTTTTGTCTCATCTTATAGTTTTCCTCTTGTACTATATTTTGTCTGATATAAGTATAGTGACTCTGCTCCTTTTTGTTTCAGTTTCATGGAATATCTTTTTCCATCCCTTTCTTTTCTGTCTATGTATGTCTTCAAAAGTGAAGTGTGTTCCTTGTGGGCAACAGATAAATCGGTCTTGTTTTTTCATCCATTCATCCAGTCTATGTCTTCTAATAGGAGAGTTTAGTTTATTCACATTCAGTGTTATTATTAGTAAGTAAGAACTTATTTCTGCCATTTTGTTATTTGTTTTCTGGTTGTTTTGTGATATTCTCTTCCTTCTTTCTTTCCTTCCTGACTTCCTCTATTGGAGGTAATTTTCTCTGGTGATAAAATTTAGTTTCTTGCTTTTGTGTGTGTGTATATTTATTGTATGCTTTTTTTTTGGTTTGATGTTACCATGAAGCCTGCAAATGCTATCTTATAATCCATTATTTTAATCTGATAACAACTTAATACTATTTGCCTAAACAAATAAACAGATAAAGAAGAAAACTAATAAAAAGTTTATGCCTTAGCTTTGTTGCCCTGCTTTTAAACTTTTTGTTGTTTTTATTTATCTTATTGTATTATGTCTTTAAAAGTTTTTGTAGTTATTATTTTTGAATGGCTCATAATTTAGCCTTTCTCCTTAGAATAAGAGTAGTTCACACACCATAGCTACAGTATTATAATATTCTGTGTTATTCCGTGTACTTATTATTACCATTGAGTTTTGTATCTTCAGGTGACTATCGCTACTTATTTCTCATTAATGACCTTTTCTTTCTGATTGAAGTACTCTTGTTAGCATTTCTTGTAGGACAGGTCTGATACTGATAAAATCCCTCAGCTTTTGTTTGTCTGAGAAAGTCTTTATTTCTCCTTCATGTTTTATGGTTATTTTTTGCCAGATGTACAATTCTAAGGTAAAGGTTTTTTGTTTTTCTTTTTTATTCCTTCAGCATTTTAAATATATCATACCATGCTATCCTGGCCTGTAAGTTTCTGCTGAAAATCCTGCTGCCAGATGTATTAGAGCTCCGTTGTATGTTATTTGTTTCTTTTCTCTTGCTGCTTTTAAGATTCTTTTTTTATCCTTGACCTTTGGGAATTTGACTATTAAATGCTTTGAGGTAGTCTTCTTTGGGTTAAATCTTCTTGGTGTTTATAATCTTCTTGTACTTGGATATTGATATGTTTCTCTAGGTTTGGGAAGTTCTCTGTTTTTATCCCTTTGAATAAACTTTCTACCTCTAGCTTTTTCTCTACGTCCTTTTTAAGGCCAGTAACTCTAAAATTTGCCCTTTCGAGGCTATTTTTCAGATCTTGCTGAAGTGCTTTTTTACTTTTTTCCTTTCGTCTCCTCTGAGTATGTATTTTCAATTAGCCTGTCTTCAAGCTCACTAATTCTTCCTTCTGTTTGATCAGTTCTACTATTAAGGGACTTTGATGCATTCTTCTGTATGCCAATTGCATTTTTTAGCTCCAGAATTTCTGCTTGATTTTTTAAAATTATTTTAATCTCTGGTAAATATATCTAAGAGAATTATGAATTCCTTTTCTCTGTTATCTTGAATTTCTTTGAGTTTCCTCAACACAGCTATTTTGAGCTTTCTGTCTGAAAGGTCACATAACTCTGTTTCTCCAGGATTAGTCCCTGGTGCCTTATTTAGTTCATTTGATGAGTTCATTTTTTCCTCAATGATGTTAATACTAGTAGATGTTCTTTGGTGTTTGGGCATTAGACAGTTACGTATTTATTGTAGTCTTCACTGTCTTAGCTTATTTGTAGCTATCCTTTTGGGGAAGGCTTTCCAGATATTTAAAAGAACCTGTGTGTTTTGATCTAAGCTGAATTTTCATTGTGGGACAACCCAAGCCCAGTAATGCTGTAGCTCTTGCAGACTTGTAGAGGTGCTGCCTTGATGATCTTGGACAAGATCTGGGAGAACTCTCTGGATTACCAGGCAGTGATTTGTTCTTTTCCTTTACTTTGTTCCAAACATACAGAGTCTCTCTCACTGTTCTGAGCCACCTAAAGCTGGAGGTGGAGTGACACAAGCACCACTGGGACCACCACCACTATGACTGCACTGGGTCAAACCTGAAGCCAATCCAGTGCTGGGTCTTGCCCAAGCCCTGGTAACCACTTCCTGGCTACTGCCTATGTTTGCTCAAGGGCCTGTGGCTCTACAATCAGCAGGTGGAAAAGCCAGTCAAGCCTATGTCCTTCCCATCAGGGCAGCAAGGTCCCCCAGGCCCTGGATTGGTTCAGAAGTCCCACCCAGGAATTGGGGACTAGAGTCAAAAACCTAAGAAGTCTACCTGGTTGGTATACTATTGTCTTGTGGCTGAGCTGGCACTCAAACTGCAAGACACAGTCCTCCCTACTATTCCTTCCCCTTTCCAAAGGCAGAGGCCTGTAGCCCTCACCACGCCAAACCGCTAGGAGTCCTGCCAGATTACCTGTCAATGTTCCCTTAAGGACCAAGGTCTTTTAAGTCAGCTTGCCATGAATGCTGCCTGGCCTGGGACTTACCCTTCAGGGTAGTGGGCTCACCTCTGGCCCAGGTTAGGTCTAGGAATGCCATCCAAGAGTCAAGTCCTGGAATCAGGGACCCCAAGAGCCTGCTTGGTGCTCTATTCCCTCTGTGGCCATGCTGGGTCCAACATGCAAGATGAAATCCTCTCAGCCTTTTTTTTTCCCCCTCTGCTTTTCTCAAGCGGAAGGAGTTCTGCCCCATTGATACCACAACTGGTAATGTGCTGAGTCTCATCTGTAGCCAGCAAGTCTTGGAGGTTCACCCAAAACACTCAATATAGTATCTGGATATTGCTGCTGTTTATTCAGGGCCCAAGGGCTCTTCAGTTAGCAGATGATGAATGCTGTTAGGACTGGGTCCTTTCCATCAAGGCAGTGGATGCTCTACTGGCCCAGCGTGTGTCTATCCCAGAAATGTCATCTGGCATCTAGGGCCTGGAATGGGGGCCTCGTGACTCTAAATTGTGCCCTATCCTATTGTGGCTGAGCTGGTATCCCAGATGCAAGACAAAGTCCTTCCCACTCTTCCCTCTCCTCTCCTCAAGCAGAAGGAAGTGTCTATTCTGGAGTCATGAGCTTTGCAGCCTGGGCATAGGGTGGATGCCAGGACTCCCTTAGCTTCTCCAGCTAGTTTCTCAGTATGTTGTATGTGCCCTCCCACCCGCCTAGTTGAGCACTAGGACCCATCAAAGATTTGCAGTCCTTATGGACTATACTACCTTTCAAGTTTACTTGAAGACACAGAGCCCTTCGTGGAGAGGTTTGCAGGTACTCAACTTTGGACTGCTAGGATCGGCTAGTCCCCTCTGGCTAGGGCTGGTTTAAATGCTCTCTTCATGGGAAGCCTTCAGCTGAGTTTGGTCTGGTTTTCCTTTCTACTCTTAACAGGGCAGCACAAAGTTCAATGCCTCACCGTTGCTGTACTCTCCCTCCTACAGTGCCGAGAGATGCTCTCTGCACCTTGCAGCCACTGCCAAGGGGCGGAGGATGTGTGACATCAGCACTTAAGGCCTGTTTTTTCTGTCTCTTCAGTGCCTCTTTCAGCTACATAAAGTGAAAACCGGGTACTGTGAGCATTCACCTGATTTTTGGTTATTATGAAGGTGTTTTTTTTTTTGTGTAGATAGTGGTTAACTTGGTGTCCTTGTGCAGGGGACAGTTGGTGGAGCTTCCTACTCCACCATCTTTCTCTGCCTCTTAATGAACATTTTAATTGCTTACACTTTTGTTTTGCTATGTTACAAATTATTTTTTAAAACAATGCATTATTTTAACGTATTGTGTGTTTCTTAATGATACATTCTTGGTGATGCCATTTCTCATTAAGTATATAAACAGATTTCATACTTTGAATGATAGTACTAAATTATCATCTAGTATATAATGATCTTTTTTTTCACATTTTTGACTATCTAATGTATCATTTGTCCAACTTTTCTATTCTGTTACTATTATTTTGTATTAAATCATAAATCAAATATCAACAATTTATTATTTATATTGCAAAATTTCCTCAATTTTCATAATTGTTCTGTAATCATTTTTATAGCAGAAGTAATTTTCTGTTTATCTTTTGATTATGTAATCAAATAATGTCAATTTTATTGCAATAGTATGTGGGTTTTTTGCTTTATATTGGAAGTCTTTCCTCTGAGTGAGAATCTAACATTGATAATGTGTTTTTCTATATATTTTCAGATGTACTTACAGATTTCTAGAAATATATTTATCCCTGAGGAGTTCACTCTCAACACAATAGCAAAAGTAATTGCTAAAATATAAGATAAATAGTTTTTCCCCCTTCTTAAACATTCTTACTGCTTCTGAAAGTCTTAAAAGCAATATGAGTCTGGTTCCATGTTACCCCTCATATCTCATATCTTGTTTTCTATCTCAAACTCATTGATATTTGATGATCCTGGACCACATCAGATATGATTTTGCTTCAAGGTCTTTGCCATAGAAATCTTTTTTCTCTGTTATACTATTTATACAAATCTTACATGGCTCTCTCTCTCAGCTTTAGGTCTTTGAGCAAATACCGCCTTCATAATGAGAACTTTTCTGAGCATCCTTATTAATTTTTTCACAGTTTCATGGCATTCAGAATCTAAGTATATCTTACATACTCCTACCCCTCCCCAATCAAGGCTATCTTCTCTGAGTCACTACTATTTCTCATCTGAATCCTTATTGTTATTTTTGAACTCTTCTCTCTGCTCCACTTCTGCCCTATTTCAGTGTATTCTCAATAACATAGCAAAATTAGCTCATATTTTAAATCCATACATCAGAATATACTAGACTTTTCTTCATAACCTAAATGGTTCCTCATATTACTCAGAGTAAAAATTGAAGTTCCTACTCTTCTTGTCTAAAAGAACTTCATTATTTGACCTCACCACCCATGGATCACATCATCTATTTTCTATCACAGAGCCAGATATTTTATGTGCCTTACTTCAGGTCTGTGCTCAACCTCTGCTTCCGTAGAGATCATTCTGGATCACCTTCAATAAACAGTACCTCCTGAAGTGTTCCATTTCCTCTTACCCATATTTATTTTTCACCAGAGTACTAACCATCTTCCAACATATTCCATATATATTTATTTGTTTACTGATCTTTTAGAATACAGACTTCATGAAGACAGATATTTTTGTCTGTTTTGTTTATTGATAAATCTTTAGCAGCTTGAAAATAATACACAATAAATGTTCATATACTCTTGTTAAGTGAAGAAGTCAATATATTAAACTGTTGGTGTTATACGTAATTTTTCTTATACATCTCTCCAATCTCCCTGTGGTATTTTAATAATATTTTGTAAAATACAAATAAACATAGAGAAGGAGACACAAGATAATTTATAGATTCATGAGAAATTAAAGTTGGCAACTGCCATCGATATTACATTCATCTATCCTCTGCTTGGTGACATAGTCCATTTTCTTTAGATTTTGGCCCCATTGATTATTTTTCTGTTATATACATGTTTTGTTTTGTTTGTTTTTTTTTTTAACATAGAAGCACTCAACTAATTTCAGCATACCCTGTTAGCCTCGAATTCTCTGTTTCGTCTCTATATTTTAAAGTAATCACTTTATTATTTTTGTCTCTAAATGATGCTGAAGCAAAATGCTGTTACCTAGGCTATATACATATATCACCTTAATTTATAATATCATTCAATTTTATTTCACTAAATCAAAGGTACTATCAATCATAAGATATACTGTTATTACGGAAACTACTCAACGTAGAAGAAAATAGTTCTGCCAATAAAAACATAATATAATGCTTTTTTATTACTAAATGTTCTCTTTGTTAACAGAGCTGTTTTAGCTGTGTTTGCATACATTTAGGCTTAGATATAAACATATGTTATTGGAAAAGACTTATAAAAATAATTTGGATAAGGTATACTTAAAACATTTTTCACCATTTGATTTTTCTGAATTACTTAAATCACTTTTCTACTTAGAGTCATAATATTTGTATTTTTTTCAGAAGATATTCCTTGTACAATTAAGAGCTTAGTGATAAATAATTTCTTTAAAAAGTTTTTCATTATTTTCAACTGGAATTTTCTTTTAAGCTATAACTCATTTGAAGCTGAGATTTTGCTTACCACACTAGATGTTTTCATCAGAAGGTATTCAAGCAATAGCAGAATTAATTTTTTTTCAATTAGTTCTTAAATTATGTGTCGAATGAAACTTAAGGGTTTGCATGTGTTAATTTGTGACCACACGAAGAACCTAGTTCATATATGTATGAGAAACAGCAATTACAAAATGATTGCCCTGAGCAAGACCAAGTGTAACAGAGTTGAAAAAATGAGAGGTCTTGGAATGGACCACCCAAATCATACCACAGGACAATAATTTTAAAAATCAAAAGGCCACATGTTGAAACACAGATAGAAGAGGGAATTAAGGTCTGCTTATATTCATTTGGCTATTAAATAACTTACCTAAGACAAACACCTTTTTAAATTTTATTTTACTAATTTTAAATTTCATATTACTATCCTGATAATTTGGAATAAACTTATGAATATAACTAAATTATTTAAATTGTAGTTTTTATGAAATAATTTGTATATATTCAAATTTTATGTTTCTTATCTCTTTGAAATTCCAGTTTTTGTACTGATTTAAACTTTCAGATTATGAAACATATTAATAAATATAATTTTTGCTTATTGCTTCCTTATGTTAAAATCTCAGTCATAAAAATATATTTGACTTGAAAAATGGAAAAGCCTTACTGTTTGTTAATCAGGATGCTCATTTAGTGGCAAAACACAATCTCTCTTTAAAATTTCAACTTTTATTTTAGATACAGGGGGTACCTGTGCAGGTTTATTACATGGCTATATTGCTCCCAGGTAGTGAGCATAGTACCCCAGAGGTCTTTCAGCATGCACATCTCTTCCTCCATCTGTTTTCTTTCTAGTAGTCTGCAGTGTCTATTGTCCCCATGTTTATGTCCGTGTGTGCTCAATGTTTAGCTCCCACTTATAAGTGAGAACATGCAGTATTTAGTTTTCTATTTCTGCATTAGTAGACTTGTGATCTTGACCTCCAACTGCATTTATGATGTTGCAAAGGATGTGATTTTATCTTTTCATGGCTGCATAATATTCCATAGGATATATGTACTACATTTCTTTATCCAGTCCACTGTTGATAAGCACTTAGGTTGACTCCACGTCTGCTATTCTGAGTAGTACAGTGATGAATATATAAGTGCATGTGTATTTCTGGTAGAATATTTTCCTTTGGAAATGTGCCCAGAAATGGGATTGATGGGTCAAATGGTAGTATTGTTTTAAGTTCTTTGAGAAATCTCTGAATTACTTTCCATAGTGGCCAAACTAACAGTTTATATTCCCACCAACAGTGTATAAGCATCTCCTTTTCTCTGCAGCTTTGCCAGCACCTGTTGTTTTTTGACTTTTAAATAACGGCAATTCTGACTGGTATGAGATGGTATTTCACTGTGGTTTTGATGTGCATGTATCTGTTGATTAATGATGATGAGCATTTTTTTCATTGGCCACTGGTATGTCTTATTTTGCAAGGTATCTATTCTTGTCCTTTGTCCATTATTTAATGGGGTTATTTGGTTTTTGCTTGCTGGTTTGTTTAAGTTCTGATAGACTCCGGATATATTCAATCTTTGTTGGATTCATAGTTTGTGAACATTCTATCTCATTCTGTAGGTTGTCTGTTTATTCTGTTGATCATTTCTTTTGCTGTGGAGAAACTCCTTAGGTTAATTAGGTCCAACTTGTCTATTTTTGTTTTTGTTGCGATTGCTTTTGGGAACTCAGACAAATATTCTTTGCCAAGCCTGATGTTGAGAAGGTTATTTCCTAGATTTTCTTCTAACATTTTTATAGTTTGAGGTGTTTTACATCTTCAATCCATCTTGAGAATGGATGACATGTTTATATATGGTGAAAGGCCAGGGTCTTTTTCATTCTTCTGCACCTGGCTAGCCACTTATCCCAGCACCATTTATTGAGTAGGGAGTCCTTTCCCCATTGCTTGTTTTTGTCAGCCTTTTCAAAAATCAGATGGTTGCAAGTGTGCAGCTTTATTTCTGAGTTTTTTGTTCTTTTCCATTGGTCTATGTGTGTGTTTTTGTACCAGTACACATTGGCAAAACACAATCTTAATCAGAGCAATCAGCCTTTGTTAAAATTTTTATGTAAGCAATGTATTTAGAACTTCACAAATAGAAGCAATCTTCCAGATATCTCATCTCTAGTAAAAGTTACCATTTTTCATCGGAGAATTTGTGAAACAGAAAGGTTAAATAAACATCTTAATATCACTCTGCTGGTTAGTGGCTGCATCCAAACAAAATTCAAGTCATTGATACAACATATGCTTTTTCTTCCTATGACTTTATGGCAGCTGGATTATAGCTTTGGATTTTTATTTCCGTGAGGGTATTTTGTATTCTTCCTCTGAACATACCCAGTGCCTAGCACAATGCACTGTCATGCATTCACTAGATTGCCAAATGAATGTCTTGACCATTGGGCCTTAACCAGGAATTGAAATTGGATAAATACTGTAGAAATGCCAACATCAACAAATTTCATCTAAAGTAGAATCTAATTTTTATATTTTTAAACTTTTAAACATTTTACTTTTTATTTGTAATTGTTTTAAATTTTAATTATATATACATGCATGCATATATACATAATCAAAAAATATATAGTTTGACTATTATTATGGTATGCAGGTAAAATAAAATAAATTCAAAAAGCTTAAACATATGCTATTCTAATTTTTAGAACATCAAATCTCAGTGGTTGAAGTGAGTAACCTAGACTGACATATGTGTATGTAATACGTACATGTGCACATAAAACAGTACTAGCTATCTTTTCTCTATGCTATTTTTGGCTCATTGACTTGAGAGTTTAGAATGGTATATATTTTATCATAAAGCAAATTAAACATTTTTTTAATCTCTGACATAATATTGAACCAAAACGATGCTTTAATTTTGTGTACTGGGGTTAATGTACATCCAACTTTCAAAGTTATTATCTATGTTTTTAGCCTGTATCAGTTAAGGAAACAAATCTCATTGCTCAAGTGTTTTTTACATGTTTTTCTGCAATATAGTTGAATTAAAATTTCAATGCCTTCCAATCAAGACCATAAGCAGTGCAGTAATCAAGCATTAATTTAGCAAGTTCATTTTTCCATTACACTGTTTTCAACACAAAGTTACTGCATTAGTACTTCCACAGCTCTGAGGTAAAATTGAAAGAGAGTGTGGAAGAATAACTGCAAGAAACACCTTGAGCTAAGGGTAATGGAGGTTGACTTTGAAATTTCCTAGGTCAAGCTTAAAATTGGTCTCTTATTTAATCATATTCAAGGGAAAAGATAACAGTATTGGAAAAATCTAAGGCATTAACATTTTCAAAATGTACAGCAGAGGCAGCGGTTCAGGGAAAAAATCTTACTCTTTAATATTATTAACAGATCTTAGTCTTTCTATTAACTTCTTTCTCTGAAATTTTATGCTGAAGACATTTTGAAAATATGCTTTTCATATTTATTAAAGTAATAAAGTGATTTTTTATTGCAGCTTGATTTTTCATGTCTTAAATATGCATTGGTTAGGGCAGTAGAGCATAAGATTATTTCCTTGGTTGTTTCAAACTGTGATGGGAAGTAATAAAAATAAAAAGCTTAGGTGTACCTTGTAGATGCTGCTACAGATTAGGAATCAGAAAACAACAATCTGCAAGTCAAATCTTGTCCTCTGCCTGTTTTTCTGAATTAAGTTTTATTGGAACACAGCCATACGCATTCACTTCTGTACTGAGTATGGCTCCATAATCAATAAGATTATAAGTAATCTCATGGACATTATAAGTAGTCCTAACAGACTAAAATATTTATCGTCTAGGTATTGACAGAAATACATTGCCAAGCCAATGGTAAGAGCTTGATAAAAAAAAAAGATCTGAGAATTATCCCCTTTTTAACTAGATGGGATTGAATTGCCTCTTTCAATGGATGGTAATTGCATTCTTACTGACATACACCTCATGCCTTACCTCTGTTAAAATAAACTTCAGACAAATTAAATTTACCAAATTTGATGTGAGCAAATAATAATTCATGAATCAGGGAACACCCTCAACCAGTGGGAGTTCAGAGAGCTCTACCAAACAGTGTGAGCAGCAAGCTTTTATGCTCCAGACACAGAAGCAAAGTAGAGAAATCTGTTTGGCTGCAGCTGGACATCTGCCTTATTTGGCCATGGTGAGATGAGGCATTTGCTTTATTAGGGCTTCACTGCCTGTAATTGGCTGAAGGTTGGCTCTTTGTGATTAGCTGAACTTGGCTGTTTGCCACACTCCTGAGTTAGTTTTGGTTTGTTTACATGCTAAGTTAGTCTACAGTTTGTTACCTAGAAACTTAAAGTAATGAGACGGCACTGCTAATGGCCTCCTGCTTAATTTAACACCTCTATTAAAGTTGTATAGACTGCTCGTTCTCCAGTTATTTTATTATTATTATTATTATTTTTTTTTTGAGATGGAGTCTCGCTCTGTTACCCAGGCTGGAGTGCACTGGCGTGATCTCAGCTCACTGCAACTTCCGCCTCCTGGGTTCAAGCAATTCTCCCTGCCTCAGCCTCCCAAGTAGCTGGGATTACAGACACCCACCACCGTGACCCGCTAATTTTTTGTATTTTTTAGTAGGGAAGGGTTTTCACCATATTGGCCAGGCTGGTCTTGAACTCCTGAACTCTGGTGATCTGCCCACCTGGGCATCCCAAAGTGCTGGGGTTACAGGCATAAGCCACTGCCCCCAGCCCTTCTCCTGTTATTTGAACAGCACACTTCCTCTTTGTATTCACCTTTCTATACAAAGTCTCCCAATTTGTCCTTCCTTGAAGATCATACTTAAAATATCATCTACACATTTGCTACAATACTATTACCTTAATTTTCTTTATTTTTCTTTATAGCACTATGTTGTTGAGACAATGTTGGATGCTCACCAAACCTATTTCTTATTCCCTCTAGGTATGAAAATCATATTTCCCTGACTTTCTTGCACTTACTGAGTCACTGAATTCTGGCCAATAAAATAGGCAGGTTGGATGCAGGACTGGATTCTAGAATCTAATAGTTTCTATACAATCCTTCAGATTCCCATTCTTTTTCTTGTCTAACATGCAAGTAAGTAGCCTATGGGAATAGAGGAACAACAAAATAATAATAATTTAAAAAGGGTAAGATCTTATGGGAGAGACCCAGTGGGAGGCAATTGAATCATGGGGGCCAATCTTCCCTGTACTGTTCTCATGATAGTGAATAAGTCTCATGAGATCTGATATTTTTAAAAACAGGAGTTCCCCTGCACAAGCTCTCTCTGTTTGCCTGCTGCCATCCATGTTAGATTAGACTTGCTCTTCCTTGCCTTCTGCCATGATTGTGAGAATTCCTTAGCTATGTGGAACTGTAAGTTCGATTAAACCTCTTTTCTTTTTTACAAAATGCCCAGTGTCAGGTATGTGTTTATCAGCAGTGTGAAAATGGACTAATACAATATTGGTACCAGGAGTGGGGTGCTGCTGTAGATACCAAAAATGTGGAAGCAACTTTGGAACTGTGAAACAGGCAGGGGTTGGAACAGTTTGGAGGGCTCAGAAGAAGATAAGGAAATGTTGGAAAGTTTGGAACTCCCTAAAGACTTGTTGAATGGCTTTGCCCAAAATGCTTATAGCGATATGGACAATAAGGTCTGGGCTGAGGTGGTCTCAGATGGAAATGAGGAACTTGTTGGGAACTGGAGCAAAGGTGACTCTTGTTATGTTTTAGCAAAGAGAATGACAGCATTTTGTCCCTGCTGTAGAGATTTGTGGAACTTTGAACTTGGGAAAAATGATTTAGGGTATCTGGCTGAAGAAATTTCTAAGCAGCAAAGGTCTCAAGAAGTGACTTGGGTGCTGTAAAGTCATTCAGTTTCTTGAGGGAAGCACAGCATAAAGGTTTGGAAAATTTGCAGCCTGACAATGCTGCAGAAAAGAAAACACCCTTTTCTGAGGAGAAATTCAAGTTGGCTACAGACATCTGCGTAACTAATAATGAGCCAAAATTTAATCCCCAAGACAATGGGAAAATGTTTCCAAGGCATATCACAGGTCTTCATGGCAGTCCCTCCCATCACAGGTCCAGAGGCCTAGGAGGAAAAATTGGTTTTGTGGGCAGGGTCCAGGGTCCCCTTTGTGTGTTCAGTCTTGTGACTTGGTGCCCTATATCCCAGCTTCCCCATCCGTGGCTTCAGAGGGTTCAAGCCTCAAGATTTGGCAGCTTCCACGTGGTTTTGAGTCTGCAAGTGCACAAAAGTCAAGAACTGAGGTTTGGCAACCTCCACCTAGATTTCAGAAGATGTATGGAAATACCAAGGCAGAAGTTTGCTATAGGGGCGGGGCCCTCATGGAGAACTTCTGCTAGGGCAGTGCAGAAGAGTAACATGGGGTGGGAGCCCTCACGCAGAGTTCCTACCGGTGCACCACCTAGTGGATCTGTGAGAAGAGTCCCACCTTCCTCCAGACCACAGAATGATAGTTCTACCAACAGCTTGCACCGTGTGCTAGAAAAGCCACAAACACTGAATGCTAGCCTGTGAAAGCAGCTGGGATGGAGGCTGTACCCTGGAAGGCCACAGAGGCGGAGCTGCCCAAGACCATGGAACCCACCTCTTGTGTCAGCATGACCTGGATATGAGACATGGAGTCAAAGGAGATAATTTTGGAGCTTTAAGATTTGATTGCCCCATTGAATTTTGGAATTTCATGGGGCCTGTAGCCCCTAGGTTTTGGCCAATGTCTCCTATTTGGAATGGCTGTAATTACCCAACACCTTTATCCCTATTGTATCTAGGAAGTAACTAACTTGCTTTTGATTTTACAGGCTCACAGGCAGAAGGAACTCGCCTTGTCTTAGATGAGACTTTGGACTGTGGACTTTTGGGTTAATGTTGAAATTAGTTAAGACTTTGGAGGACTGTTGGGAAAGCATGACTGGTTTTGAAATGTGAGGACATGAGATTAATGGGGGCCAGGGGCGAAATGCTATGGTTTGTTTGTGTCACCACCCAAATCACATCTTGAATTTCCACATGTTGTAGGAAGGACCAGGTGGGAGGTAATTGAATCATGGGGGCATTCTTTCCTATGCTGTTCTCATGATAGTGAATAAGTCTGAAGAGATCTGATGTTTTTAAAAAGAGTTCTCCTGCACAAGCTCCCACTCTTTGCCTGATGCCATCCATGTAAGACATGACTTCACCTCCTTGCCTTTCGCCATGATGAGGCTTACCCTCATCAGCCATGTGGAACTGTAAGTCCAATTAAACCTCTTTCTTTTGTAAATTGGCCAGTCCCAGGTATATCTTCATGAGCAGCGTGAAAATGAACTAATACGCCCTAAAATCATATACATTCATGTTTGCTCTTATGAGTAGATTATAAGCTTCATATGCTTCATAAGACCATGGAATTTATTTTTATTCACTATTAGAACACTGTCTAGCAGAATTTGTGAAATAAATAATTGAGTAAATGTGTGGGGGAGGCTAAATATCACAATTACCCAGGATACTTATTCCAAATCCACAAGGAAAACTCAGGTTGGTACAAAAGTAATCACGGTTTTTCCCATTGAAAGTAATGGCAAAAATTTTAAATTGTCCCTTAAAAGTATTTGTCCCTTTGAATCTGTGGTCTTCTTATCATTACTAAAATGCCAGGAGCTTGGTCTAGGTCCTGCTGCTTGCCAAACAGAAATCCAGTCATTAAGACAATGAGTATTGCCAGGGAAGAAGGCTTTAATCAGGTGCTGCAGCCACGGAGAGGGGAGGTCAGTCTCAAATCCATCTCCCTGACCAACTAAAATCAGGGATTTATATAGCAGGAAAGAAATGTAACTACATGCAGAAAAACAGAAATTAGGGAAGAAAAAGGAAGAGGAGTTGGTCAACAGGAAGCAGGTGAACAGTCAGGCAACCGTGACAGGTGAGGGGTCTGGCTCCTCATTGACCAAATGCTGTGATCTTGATACCATCTGGGAAGACTGATGGTTGGTATCCTGAGAAAGGAACTCAGTTAAGACAACTGTAATTTTTTCAAATTTTAAGAGTGGGAGGGTCAATTTCTATGTTTATTCAAAAGAAACCATAAACATCACTTCTATGGGACAACGTGGTCTGTTCAGGACAAAGTTACTGAAATCAGTCTCTTGTCCAATCAAAGCTCTAGTTATGGCTGTTGGAACACAGAGTCAGTTAATCAGTTTCCCTGAGCTGGATGAGTTGTAATTGTTTTAATATTGCTTATCTCTATGCCAATGCTTGTTTAGCTGCTAGAGAAAAGGAGAAACCTTGTAGCAGTTAGAACATAGTTTATTCTTTAAGTGTAGGGGTGTGTGGTTTAACACTTCCTTCCTGGGCATGGTCTTAGGTCTTGTTTATAATTTGGTATCTTATTGCCACGAATAATCTTCTTTGTCTCTCATAATATCTATTTTAACATTAATGGTGCTGTGTTGTTGTGTCTAAACCACAAAAGGGAGGGGGGATAATGAGGCATGTCTGACCTCCCATTCCAACATGGTCAGAAATTCAGTTTATTGTTTTCTGGGGCTGCCCTCTCTGTTAAGTGGAGAAGCTTATGATTTTGTTTTTAGTTTACATCTTTATAATATACTTGTTAGGTAGGTAATCTAAATATCTCCATTTTACAGATGAGTAAGCTGAGCCATAGAAAGACCAAGTTTCTCTGCCTTGGGTCACACAGCTAATAAGGTGTCAAGCCAGGATTTAAACTCAGGCAATCTGACTCTGCTGTGCTCTCAACTCATGTACAGTAATGATAAGAATACATCAAGCAAGATGAGGAAAATATGGAATACTACAGTGCATACAAATTGCAAAATCCACAAATATGAGGGAGATATAGAGATGTCCTCTATTTTTTTAATTGAACTTTCCTAACGCAAACTTTTTTCTATTTAGGAGCAACAACATACTTTTAGCTAATTAATTGTAAACTTAGTCCAAACAGGTTTTACTTCATGATTTCAGGTTTATTTTACACTCTGTCCATTTTCAAATGGTTTTATCGAAGATCGGAGCAATAACTATCCATGTTCAAATCTTGTCTGTGTACCCTTCTTTTTTTCTATTTCTTCTCCACTAGTTTACAGTTATTGTCATATATCCTCTGAATTTCTCAAAGCATCTGAGAGCTGGATGAGTTGTAATTGTTTTGATATCGCTGATTTCTAGGCCAGTGCTTATTTAGCTGCTAGAGAAAAAGAGAAACGTTGTAATAGTTAGAGCATAATTTATTCGTTAAGTGTAGGAGTGTGTGACTTACACCTTGCCTGGCATGGCTTCAGATCCTCATTCCCATATGGTAAAGAACCCATGTAAATCATTCAGTGTCCTCCTAATCCTGAGTACAAAACTCTTCCAATCTATAGATATTCCCCAAATATCCCTGAGACTCTTCTGGAGAGCCCTGGAGAACTCTGGAGCACTCCCATGTAACCATGTAAGTGTAGCTCTGCAGCAAATTCAGGACGATTGTTTCAGGGCCTCTCTGAATAGATAGAACATATTATAATATCTAGTTGATTGTTATTGAATCATAGCAAAACATGATAAAATTCTAGAAAGTTGCTGATTTCCTCAGTCCCATTAGGGAAACAAAGTTCAAAATTCTTCTGCTATGGATTCTAAAATTTAATTAAAGACTATGTTCTTCCTTTGGGGTTTTGTCTTCATTATGGGTAGAAAATACATTTCCAGAACTCCTCAACAGGGACCTTCATAGGCAACTCAGTGTCTGATTCTTGCCCTCTGCTTTTGCCTTAAAGAATCTGAATTCATCTGTGGCAGGAAAAGCTTACCTTTTGTTTAGACCTTTTGAAGGTCAAAATCCAAATTACCTTCTACTTTTTCTCCGCTTTTCTATGTAACAACCACACTTTGAGAGCAGTGCACATAGGCACTCTCCCCTCTTATCTCCCTAAATGCAAAAAGAGTGGGTTATCAGAACATTTCTGAAACAAAAGGAAATGTTAATATTTTAAAATAGTATCACACCACATAATAAAGAGTCTATGGCATTCATCCAACTAATATAAAAATCTCATCCATTAAGAGACAGGTGGGATTAACCTTAGTCTGAATTCTGTTCAGATTTTAAGAATCAAATAATAGCCCTAAACAAATTCCAAATTCCATAAGCCTTTTGTTTACACATATGACAGAGGACATTGTGAATATAACATAACCACGAAATTAAGGAGAGCAAGCACATTTATAGAGCTACCAGGCCCCTGACTTAACACTTTTATGTGTTATATCATCTACACCTTAAAATCTTCCTTCACAATAAATTTTATTGTCCTTATATCACAAGTTAGAATAGAGATTGATTCGGAACTTCATCCAAGCTTGCCTGAATACAAACACTGGGCTTATGCTGCCTCCAAATTATCAATTAAAATGGATCCAAAGTGACAAATTTGTCCAATCTACCTTTTTAAAACTGTAAAAGAACATGACATTTTGGGTTTGAGGAAATGGAGTAAAAAAATAATAATTTTATTTTGGAGGAAGGTATTGAAATATCACATTAATTTAAAAGGAAATATAGTATTGAGTTTGAAAACTTTGTCCCAACCATTTGAAATTTTGACTTTACCACTTACCATTTGTGTGGCCTTAGGAAAAAAAATAAAAACACACACTCTCTAAAATTTACTCTTGTTTTCAGTACATGGTGTTATGAACTGAGTGTTTGTGTCCCCTCCCCGGAAAAACTAACATGGTGACACCTAATACCTTATAAGATCATAATTGGAGGTGGGTTTTTCAGTCAGGTGATTAGGCTATGAGTGTGCAGCCCTCATGAATGGAATAAGTGCCTTTATAAAAGAGATGCAAGAGAACTGTTTTGCCTCTTCCACCATGTGAGGACACAGTGAGAAGGCAACGACCTGTGAACCAGAAAACGAACCTTTACCATTCTGAGTTTATTTACCTGACTGAATTTCCTTACCAGACTGAATTTTCTGGGGCTTTAAATGTGAACTCAGTTTCCAGAACTGTGAGAAATAAATGTCTGTTGTTTATAAGCCACCTTCTCTATGATATATAGCAACCCAAATAGACTAGCACACACGGGAATAGTAATTTTGAAATATCAGCATGAAACACTGAATGTATATTCTTAAGAAGCTGTCTGGCACATAGGAAGCAGGCTTTCAGTATTAACTACTGATAGTATTTACCTGAACTAACAGACTCAATAAGTTAATTTATCCTGCCATACCAGGACTTTTTTAATCTGCCTGGTGATTCTTCTAAGCATAGCACCTTGACAGGAAGATGCTGCATCTCTAGGTGGTGGTTACCATGGCAAGTGTCACGACAGATCTGAGCCATGACATCATTTTACTTCAGGTATTCCTTCGCGGCTTTTCTCTCATCCTGAATGAGTCAACTTCAGCTGATTCTGATTATGTGTTCAACTTTATGAACGTTCTTTCCTGTTTATGTATTTTTACCTTTTTTCCATTTTAGAATATTTCTTAGACACTCCTTCACTATATAAAAACATAAGGTAGTTTACAAAAGTTCATTATGCATTTACACTCTCTCCAGCATGCTTGATTGGCACTTGATCAAATTTTTGCAATGTGTAGATCATTCTTTAATAAATAAAAGTTTTAAAGACTTATTTGAAAAAAAAGTGTTTTAAAAATCCCCTTAAAGGAGTAAAATTTCTTTATCCTAAGCATATGTACATCAGATAAAAGCAGCACTGCTATGAGTGAAATACATGCGGCAGTTTTAGCCCTGGCTACTGTTTCACCTTCTACTCCCTGTTTGGCAGATGAAGTATTCTGAGTTGCCCAAAAGACAACTTAAAAACCACTGTTCTAAGCCTACTCTTGCCTTTTCTACTAGCCTTCTGCTACATGTTTCTTCCATTTTCAATATATTATCACACAGTAGTCTTAAGTGTTTCTGATCAATTCAAATGCAAAGAAATTGAGACATAAAAATGCTTGCCTTATGCATGGACTAAAATCTATTCTATAGTATCAATTATTCTCATATATTAATATATATTTTTTCTTAACACTTTTTAATTGGGGCAGATAATTTTATATTATATAAACAAATTTATCACTTAAAAAATCTTTTTCTTAATAAGTCAGCATCCTGTAATTTTTTAAGCATATGTTGTCTGGATGTAACTAAAAATTATCAACTTTCTCTTAATAAGCATGAAAGTAATGTTTTTCCAAGTTTGGAAAAAAATCATTTATTCTATTCTGAGGTGTTAGGAAAGAAAAAAGTCCCAATAACATGATGTTTCACTATTGATTTTTACCTGCAATAATGAGAGAATGCTAACAAGCAAAGATTCCTGAAATCTGCATTACATTATAGTTCTGAAATGCAAGCGTAATGCTTTCCACAATTCAACAAGTAGACATTATGGTTAAAGAGAGCCGATGTCCTCATAACACTTTACTGTTCATTACTACTCTGTTTACATTGTCTAATTTTTGTTTTCAACATAGCCCTTTTAAGTGGACAAGACATTTTATTAATACAGTCATGTGTTGCTTAATGACAGAGCTATGTTCTGAGAAATGCAACCTTCGGCAATTTTATTGTGGTGCAAACATTATAGAGTGTACTTACACATACCTAGATGGTATAACGTACTATACACATAGAGTAGATGATATAGCCTATGTAGGCAATTGTAACACAACGGTAAGTATTTGTGTTATCTAAACATATCTACACATAGAAAAGTACAATAAATATATGACACTATAATCAATGGGATCACCATTGCATATGTGGTCTTTCATTGAGCAAAACAGTTATATAGTGCATAACTATATAGCATATTGTAGTTTGAAGGATAATAAAATTAGGTCCAGAGAGTTTAAGTGACATGTTTAACATCATCTAGCTGTAGGGATAACACTGAGATCATCTAAGTCTAGCATATTTTTGTTCTTTCTACTAGAGCATCCTGCCAATTAAGTGTTAGACATTCAGCTAAAATGGATGAGCTTCCAAGATCAAAAAAGGAAGGAGTGATTAAATATAATTGTGAATAGGCCATTTAAGGAAAATATGTTTTGCTACTTTGTTAAATTCAAGACTAGCTGATTAATTGAGACTGAGAAGACCGAGCATTGGGATGGAAAGCTGACTTCATTAATAATGTCAAATCATTATGTTAGAGATTTTTTTTTGAACAAAGGCTTATACTAGAGCTTAATACAGAAAGAAGTATATTTGTTCAGGTTTTTTTTTTTTTTTTTAAGTTTAAAGGAGCAAAGCAATGCCTGTGCCATTAATTTTATTTCACTGACATTTATTTAGTTCTTGCTCTATCTAAGCCAAGTAACAAGGTAGAGGTTTTGGATGAAAGATTAATACGATGGAGCCCTCTGTGGAGGACATTGTCAGCAGTCCACCAAGTCCATAGTCCACCTCCTTCTCTGAACCGTAGAGCCAATCTCTGAGATTCCTTGTCCTCTTATCTTTAGGTGTGGCCATGGGACTGAGTTCTCCACAGGGGAAAGTGAGTGAAAATAGGGTGACTAATCATCTTTCTTTGCCCGTGACTGAGGGGGTTACCACGACTATCTACTTTCAGTCCTAAAGCTGAGGAGGCCCTGGCAAGTTAAGTTGACTTGGTTATCCATCTTAAGTGGAAATGATGTTACCTGCTTTTAGGTCTGATTTCTAAGCACCTCCCATATGAAATTCTCCATGCCCTTTCTCCTTTCTAGCTGACTGGCATGGAGATAACTGCAGTGACCTTAACTGCCCCAGCTTTTCAATGGCAAAGCCTCTGTGAGTCTGGGTTTGTGTGTGACCACTTGGAGCTGAGCAAACACAGTTGAGGAGCATCTGATCTGTAATCCTGAGGGCAGATTTGTTTATGTAATGATGGTAACAAATTAACTTCCTACAAAACCACTAACTTTTGTGTCTATTTTTTAACCACAACATATCTTTACAAAATAAGAAAATAATCTTGACCTTCAAATACTTGCAGTCATAATGTTAAAAAACAAAAGCAGAAGAAAGAGGAGAATAGTCTATTTTAAAAAGATAATTAAAAGTCTATTTTAAAAAGATAATCAAACATATTTTTGAAAGGACATTTCCAGAGATGTGATTACCTGAGAAATAAATGAAGGATGTTGCTAATGACTACTACTTGACCCTATATATCAGTGAGATTATAACAAAAAAGTACCACTGCTGTCTAGATTTCTGTGATAAGTGATAAAAAATTGAAATGGAGGAGTTATAAGGACCCTCTATAGTGAAGTTTTGTTATTTAAATTTTAAAATTAAAGCACTGTTTTAAAAAAGAAAAGAAAAATTTTTTATTTAAACGACTATTCATTTCACAAAACTACTCTCCATTGTGTTCTATGATTTCTTTATTGGCACATATAAGAGTCTCATTGCTTTAAAAAATCATTAATCATGCAGATTAGTTTTAACAAGCTAGGTAATTATTTCGTCAGTGCCACTTATTTGTCCTAATGTTATCCTTCTCTCAACAAGAATGATGTAACTCTTATGTCAGTCATCTCATAAAGCAATAGCTGTGGCTGGAAATGTTGAATATCAGGCTATTCTGCTTATGATTACCAAGACTGAGCAATTTTAACTCTTCCAATTACTTTCTTAATCGTGGTAATTAGATTTCTTTTAATTTTTTTTCAAACAACTACGGGTATTATCACTGAAATGTTGGATTTCTCCTCTGTGGTCAGATATAGCCCTGTAAAATTTCTTTTTTTTATATATATAGAAGAGATTTTCATAAGAACCTATCACCAAAGAATGAGTAAAATATGAGCTAAGATTAAAACTACATAGCCTTCCAATGATTCAAAATACTTCTTTCTTTTTTTTTTTTTTTTTTTAAAAACAACAATCATTTTATTATGTCTTACTATAGCTCGCCTTCTTGAAGGGTGATCAGGATAAGCTTGAAAGATAAATATTTGCCAGGCCGACCGAGTGGCAGTGGCATTACACGCAATATTTGAGTCTGAGCAAAGAACTGTGGGGAAAATGAAAAGATGGAACTCGTATTCTGAGCATTTATAATTGAAGACAGACCCCAAGAATATTTGGGAAGGGGAGAAATTGTGTGAGTCTAGGAGGAAGTGTTTGAGGTGAGTACAGATTTCACCATCAAAGTATAATAACGAAATGACTCCAGTGTTTGTGAATCCAAGAATTAAATAGGTTACAACATGGACAGTGACTCTAAGAACATTGTCAAGGTGCAGTGTTTCTTCCTACCAACCAGTCAGCCAGTTTTTAGAAGTTAGGAATTTAGCTTGAGTGTGAGTTGGAAAGAAAGATTTGGCTGCTCTCCAGTTACAAGAACAGTATGTTGACTGTAATAAGGCCTATGTAGATATTGTCTTAATCTTAAAAGAGGCCAAGATATACAGTTCCTTCTATGCAGTCTGGATTTCCCACTGATTTCTTTTTTTTTTTTTTAATTGATCATTCTTGGGTGTTTCTCGCAGAGGGGGATTTGGCAGGGTCATAGGACAATAGTGGAGGGAAGGTCAGCAGATAAACAAGTGAACAAAGGTCTCTGGTTTTCCTAGGCAGAGGACCCTGCGGCCTTCCGCAGTGTTTGTGTCCCTGGGTACTTGAGATTAGGGAGTGGTGATGACTCTTAACGAGCATGCTGCCTTCAAGCATCTGTTTAACAAAGCACATCTTGCACTGCCCTTAATCCATTTAACCCTGAGTGGACACAGCACATGTTTCAGAGAGCACAGGGTTGGGGGTAAGGTCATAGATCAGCAGGATCCCAAGGCAGAAGAATTTTTCTTAGTACAGAACAAAATGAAAAGTCTCCCATGTCTACTTCTTTCTACACACACACAGCAACCATCTGATTTCTCAATCTTTTCCCCACCTTTCCCCCTTTTCTGTTCCACGAAACCGCCATTGTCATCAAGGCCCGTTCTCAATGAGCTGTTGGGTACACCTCCCAGACGGGGTGGTGGCCAGGCAGAGGGGTTCCTCACTTCCCAGAAGGGACGGCCGGGCAGAGGCGCCCCCCACCTCCCGGACGGGGCGGCTGGCCGGGTGGAGGCGCCCCCCCACCTCCCTCCCGGATGGGGCGGCTGGCCGGGCGGGGGCTGACCCCCCACCTCCCTCCTGGACAGGGCGGCTGGCCGGGCAGGGACTGACCCCCCACCTCCCTCCCGGACAGGGCGGCTGGCCGGGCAGGGGCTGACCCCCCACTTCCCTCCCGGACGGGGCGGCTGGCTGGGCGGGGGCTGACCCCCCACCTCCCTCCCGGACAGGGCGGCTGGCCCGGCAGGAGCTGACCCCCCACCTCCCTCCCAGATGGGGCGGCTGGCTGGGCAGGGGCTGACCCCCCACTTCCCTCCCGGACGGGGTGGCTGGCCAGGCGGGGGCTGACCCCCCACCTCCCTCCCTGACGGGGCGGCTGGCCGGGTGGGGGCTGACCCCCACCTCCCTCCTGGACGGGGTGGCTGCCGGGCGGAGACACTCCTCACTTCCCAGACGGGGTGGCTGCCGGGCAGAGGGGCTTCTCACTTCTCAGACAGGGCGGCTGCCGGGCGGAGGAGCTCCTCACTTCTCAGACAGGGCAGCCAGGCAGAGACTCTCCTCACCTCCCAGACAGGGTCGTGGCCGGGCAGAGGCGCTCCTCACGTCCCAGACGGGGCGGTGGGGCAGAGGCGCTCCCCACATCTCAGACGATGGGCGGCGGGGCAGAGACGCTCCTCACTTCCTAGATGGGATGGCGGCCGGGAAGAGGCGCTCCTCACTTCCCAGACTGGGCAGCCAGGCAGAGGGGCTCCTCACATCCCAGACGATGGGCGGCCAGGCAGAGACGCTCCTCACTTCCCAGACGGGGTGGCAGCCAGGCAGAGGCTGCAATCTCGCACTTTGGGAGGCCAAGGCAGGCGGCTGGGAGGTGGAGGTTGTTGCGAGCCCAGATCACGCCACTGCACTCCAGCCTGGGCACCATTGAGCACTGAGTGAACGAGACTCCGTCTGCAATCCGGGCACCTGGGGAGGCCGAGGCTGGCGGATCACTCGCAGTTAGGAGCTGGAGACCAGCCCAGCCAACACAGCGAAACCCCGTCTCCACCAAAAAAATACAAAAGCCAGTCAGGCGTGCGGCGCGCACCTGCAATCGCAGGCACTCGGCAGGCTGAGGCAGGAGAATCAGGCAGGGAGGTTGCAATGAGCCGAGATGGCGGCAGTACAGTCCAGCTTCGGCTCGGCATCAGAGGGAGACCGTGGAAAGAGAGGGAGAGGGAGACCGTGGGGAGCGGGAGAGGGGGAGGGGGGGGGAGAGGGAGGGAGAGCAAAATACTTCTTTCTTAAGAGTTGATCCACCATTATATCACATATTCACTTTTATATTTTTTTTGTCAAAATTTGAAAGATAAATTTGATCTCTCTTAAACAGGGTACTATTAATTGTTGATTTCCATTTTCAAACTTCAGATATTTATGTTTTCTTCATAAGAAGATATAACTATGAACTATTGGATTATTGATACATTAGTGTTTTCTTAGAAAGCCAACTGCCTTAGAAAATCATCTAAAAATAAAACAAAATAAAACTATGTACAGAGAAATCTTTTAGATAAATGAAATAGCAACTGATGTACTTTCCTTATAATCAGCACTTTAAATAGAACCCTTCAGTGAACGTCAGCTATATAAAATATTTTTATTCCTCAAATAAAATTTCTTTCAGGATATATTAGTAAAAATTGTACCAGCATAAGTCCAGATAGTACCTGAGAGTTGAGCCAGATTTTTGTGTCTATAGTCATAGACTATAGTCATGTCTATGACATAGTCATGTCTCTGGTGTAATTTCCCTGAATTGACAATGTATAGGTATATACTGCACCATATATTGGGACATAAATAATACAGCAAAATGCTTTGAACAGTGTTCAAGTTGTAGAAATTATTTAAGAAAACAAGGGTAAAAATAAATAGAACATCCATGTATGTGAAAGCTTAAAAATTGGAAAAGAATACACTGACACCCTGAAAAATATATATTAACAAATAAAATGCTAGGAAAATGTAAAAAAAAGTTAAGTTTCAATCACAAGTTCAATATAAAATAGGTGATTATCAATATACATCAACATTAAAGTCTATACTCTTTGAAACTCATGAAAACAGATTATTATAGTTAGTAAAGATCCATTAAACCTATTTCCAAAAGTAAAATACATCTTAGCATGAGGAAATATACAAGTAAAAATTATGTTATTTTGAATACAAATTTATCTCTGTATATATAAATAAGCCATAATGAAAATGTTAAGTTCAGAAGGATTAAGTAGAAATGACGAACTTCCAGTTAGTAAAAGCATGTCAGGATATACTTAAGAAGTATTCCATATTTACTAAGAGATTATAGATGTTTTAGGTGGAAATTCTTAATTTTAGCTAAAACTAATATAAAGTTGGAAAGAATAACAAGCTAAAATAATTTGAGAATTTATTTTATTATGGATCTTTCTTGTAAAGTAGATTGTGTATATAAAATCTGATTATATTTCAGTTTTTTGCTATTTAATTATCATTAACAAAATTAATATAGATATAAAAATATCTCTGTATAAAATGAAAATCTGAAGGTCTCTAAAACAACTATTGCAACAACCTCCTTTGCCAATTTGCAGTATGATATGACTGATCACAATAGTTTATATGATGGATAGAATCTGGTGTGCAATATCATTAATTAAACCTTATCTTAAGATCTAGCATATATATTTCATTGGATTTAGCTTTATCATATCTAAGTTGATTCTGTATTAATTAAAATACAACCAAATTACAGGCAATTCTTACAAATATAATAATCTAGATCAAATATTATAATATCCTTATAGGTAATATAAACGATATTTTCTGACAATAAAAGCTGTGAAGTGAAGCTTCTTTTATTATGGAGAGGTGTTTCTGTAAATTAACTGGATAAATTATATGTAAGCTTAATACCACTTTCTTTCATGGTTGAGGTGTAAAATATTAACATAAGCTTGTTACTAAGCAATGTGAATTTACACATTTTCTTCCTTAACATAGTGTCATACTTGCTACAAGAAAATCACTTTTAAATCTAAAACACTAATATAAATATTGAAAAGGAAGGCAAAGTATAAGCAGTTTTCTGGAAAATTGATAAATAGTCAAGTTGGATACCAAACATCTAAAGGACCATTTACTTTCTAGACAGCAATATATTTTTCTGAAGTAATCTAGATAGAGATCTTAATTTTATTTGGAATTTGTAGAAATTTTATAGAAACACCGTAAAATTTTTGTGAAATGTTTATGTATGCAAATTAATTTTAAGCAAACATTTACTTTTTATAATTAAGTGTAGCTCTTTAATTTAGAATATATCTGAAGTTTTTAAATATTAAAATAAGTTTGGGCAGAAGAAAGTTATGGTTACTGAAACATATTTTTCAATCAAAATAGTCCGTCAAAATGTGACAGTCCCAAAATAATTTTGAGACAGCCAAGTATAAAGGGCTCCCTAGCAGAAGCTTCAACTACAGTGTGCATGGGAGGAGTCTGCACCGGGGTGGAGCCTTGGTAAGTCTGCACCCTTTGCAGGGGAAAGGAGCCTGGTATCTCCTGTTCCTGGTGGTACCTGGGATTCAATGTGTGAGGCAGGAAACCAGCTAGCAGAACTCTTGCTTTGCTGACAGTCTCTGATTCCCCCACTTTTTTTCCTTTTTTCCCAATAAATTCCATTTTTCTCACCCTTCAAAGTGTCTACGAGCCTAATCTCATGGTTGTGTGACAAGGACACTGTTTTTAGCTGAACTAAGGAGAAAGTCCTACAACAGTTTGACATTTTTTTCTGGACAGTAAGCAATTACGGTTATTAAATGACTACTTTTAAGGCACAAGAGCATTGAATTCTGGCTCACTCTTTTTTTCTTTAAAATATATTGTCTTTGCTATAATCACAATAATTCCTCAACATTGCTTAATGCTCGATTTAATCTAAACCAGGCACTATGTTATGGATGGGAGCGTGAGGATATGTGTGTGTGGACAGGTGAGGGAGAAGAGAGAAAGAGCAATTACTTACAAACGTAAAAGTTTTCTCAGCAGAAAATCACGATTGTATTTATATCTTATATTATCATGTGCTTGGAGAATGTTGAGCAGAGAAGTGGAGAACTTTTCTTAATCATTATTTTATCCTTTTTTTAAGTAAATGAATACCTTTTTTTGAAGGTAAGCTTATTTTATCACAAAGTGATTCCTTTACAACTTTATGGTGATAATTACCAAATTAAATATGCAGTAATGAAAAATGTATATGTCCTTCTGCCAGTAACTTCCTGTAGTATGAAACTTCATATTACTAACTTAAATATTATCTTGTTGAAAACAATGTTTTCTTTATATATTGTTGCATTATATTAATTACATGTATAGTAATAAATATAAATACCAATTAATTATTATTAAACTTTCAAACATTCCCCTCTCTCTCCCTTGTTTCAAAACATAAAGAATTTAAGTAGTTTTCAAGGACAAGAAAATAAATCAGAAATAGCTCTTCATGTAAACATCAGAATCAGTTACTGTTCCCCTGTAACTAAAGCTATTTGGAAAAAAACTGTGATTTTTTTTTTTTTTTTTTTTTTGTATAAAGTACAAGAGGGAAGAAATTCAGGTCAAAGCAACTGGCTACAATTCAATAGGACAAATCATAGATGAACTTACAAAGGAAATGCCTAAAAATGACTACAAGAAGATGTAGATGAATTTTCACTCTGCTTTCAGAAAGAGAAAGGCGTTTCTATGTGTACAATCAATTTTAAAAATTGTGTTTTGGGCCACAAAAATATTAAGAACTACACATCAAAATATTTAAAGTGAAAACAAAAGTTGAGCAAACTAAAAATAATTAGCAAAATATATATAATACATAAAATCTTTTACTCATCAAATATATACATATGTTACATAAAGATCTCTTAATGATCAGTCAAATATAAATGTCAATTTAAGCAAAGGCATAGACAAAAAAAATTACCAGCAATTGAAACGTTTATTTTCTAAATATGTTATAATAAATAAATATATTTGAAACCAAGGAAAGTGTTTTTTCTTTAATGTCAGCCTTATGTTGAGACCAATGGCAAAATAAGTAGGTGGCTAAGTAGTTTGAATTTCTCATTAAACCAAGGAATGGAAGATAAAAAGTGCTGTAAACTGAGATTATTATCTATCCTGTTCTGGCGTTAAGGATCTCCCATTCCCCATATTTTGTCCTTGGTCTCTTGACCATCTGTGTGTAAACAGCAATTCTGTTCCAGACCTCAGTAGGTATTACCAGTTGCTTAGAACTAGGAAATACTCTGTTCTTCTAACCATCAGCAAAGGTGTTAGTTTCTTACTATCATAGTTTATTAGGCATTCTAACAAATTTCAGCAGTTTGTGTTTAGAATATGCATTTGTTTCCTTATGGAGTGATAGCTTTTCTTCCTTTTTAAAATAATAGCGGTATATCAAATTAGTCTTGTTTATTTGGAACACAGAAAAGCTTCGCCTCTGAAGGCTGGAAGCTCCGGACAGCTATGATTCAATGCAGAGAATAAGCGAATAGAAATAACAAATCTTGGCTAGGCGTGGTGGCTCACACCTGTAATCCCAGCACTTTGGGAGGCCAAGGCGGGCGATCACGAGGTCAGGAGATCGAGACCATCCTGGCTGACAGAGTGAAACCCCGTCTCTACTAAAAATACAAAAAAAATTAGCCGGGCGTGGAGATGGGCGCCTGTAGTCCCAGCTACTCCGGAGGCTGAGGCAGGAGAATGGCATCAACCCGGGAGGCGGAGCTTGCAGTGAGCCTAGATCGTGCCACAGCACTCCAGCCTGAGCGACAGAGCCAGACTCCGTCTCAAAAAAAAAAAAAAAAGAAATAACAAATCTTAAGTGCTACAGCACAGCCAAAGTAGCAGGAAGAATGTGCAGATCCTAGATGACATTGTGCTTGAAATAAAGGATTAATGAGAGAGGTGGTGTGCTACAGCTCCAAGAGCACAGTAAAAGAAAATATCATTTTTATACCATATGACCTTTAGGTAATATGATTAGGTTTTCTGGGGTTCTTCCAGTCATTTGAAAAATACACAGAGTATTCTGCTTTGCATAATGATTATAAGCATAAACTTCCAAGTCAGACTTTCTAGATTTAAATGCCAGCTCTATTGGTGTTACTATTAATGGCCTTGGCAACTTAAGCCCTTTGTACCTCAGTTTTCCTCTCCATGAAGGGGTGGGGGGTCCCAACAAACAAGAAACTATCAATACATTTTGTCGCAGTCTTTTGTTTAGTCATTGTTTGACACTGAGGGTGACCAGGCAATACTCTGATTTCAATTCTATGATACTATTCACTTGAAACAACTTTATGTTCTGGAGATGAGAGATGCTGCAAATGAGCTTTCGCTAAACTATGATTTCAAGTCAGTGCAGTTTTTGGGTGGTTTCAGAAATCACAGTGAGTTCACATCCAAAGTACCAGAGAGGCAGTCATATGCACGCTGAAGTATAGAAGAGTGCTTTTGTTTTTGGAAAGAATAAAACAATGTAGGAAATCAATATTGAAGTAATTACTCAGCTGCAAGTATAAAAGCAGTAAAATTTTTAAGACATACGTCATTTAGATAACACTTAGGGTCATTATGTGTATAAGGGTGTTTTATTCATTTACTAGCCAATGAGCATGGTCAGTACCTACGTAAAATCGAACTTCCCCTAAAATATCATTCAAACAATTTTTTAACTGTAATTCACATATTTCATTTTCTCGTGGACCCAAGGGGATATTTTTTCAGTAAGTTTCTGATAGGATCTAACCACTTTTTTTTTTTTTTTTTTTTTTTTGATACATGGTCTAGCTCCATCTCCCAGGCTGGAGTGCAGTGGCGTGATCTCGGCTCACTGCAGTCTCAACCTCCCTGGCTCAGATAATCCTCCCACCTCAGCCTCCAGAGTAGCTGGACTACAGGCATGTGCCACACACCCGGCTAATTTTTTGTAGAGATGGGGTTTCACCAGATTGCCCGGGCTGGTCTCCAACTCCTGGGCCAAGTGACCCGCCCACCTCAGCTTCCAAAAGTGCTGGAATTACTGAGGTCAGCCACCGCGCACTTGGCCTGAGCACATTTATTTTTAAAAGCTCCTTAGAAATTATTGATGTGTACCCCTGATTCAAAACACTGACCTATATGCTTTCCTTCAAACCCACTGAGATCTCATTGTAACTATTTTCAGTTTATTATACACATATCTACTTTGTGGGCAATCAATCCCTATCACTTTCTTCCTATGACTCCTGTCTATTTTTGAAGGAATCCGTAAGAAACTTTTTCTTTTTTATTTTGCATGCCATTACTTTGACATTCTGCACCTACAGTTTGAAATGTATAAATGCATGTCAGAAAGGCTACAAATAATCACTTATTTGTATTTTGTTTACTAGAAAAGCTGTGCTTGGGAAAAAAGCATTTCATATTTGAAACATAACATTAGAAAAGGGTGGGTTTTAATATGTCAAAATACACTTCAAAGACAATGTGCGGGGGGTGGGGAGGTGTAAACATAACGTTAATTAGTGAGTAATTTCGAATCCAATGGGTAAAGAAGTTGGTCAAATTTGATACTCTACTGATGTAAATGTACTTCAAAAAATGTTAAAATATTGTAAGAAACAGAAACAGCTAAGCAACTATTTTGTACTTAAAATGAAAACAATTATCCTGACTTGATTGAAAGCTAGCATAGGAGTATTCTGAAATGGTTCTGCAATATTAGAAACTTGTTTGAAATCATTTTCAATTAACAACTTATAAATTTAACTTATTTAGTTAATAAATTTTACAATGACATATGGAGGTAAATGCTCACCAAAAAAACTGTTTCATGAATGGAGAAATTAGGAAAATATGAGTATATTTTATAGTGTAGAATTTTTCTGATAGTATATATATACTTTTGCTTACAACTCAGTCTCTGAAAGGAAATATCAGATTGAGTAGTTCCTAAATGTATTTAATAAAACATAATATTTTAATAAATTTTTAAATAATAGTTTCCCAAGAGATGACAGTTTGCTAGATTCAGATGTATGTACAAAGAAGGAACAAAATAACATAGTAGCTCCACATACAAAAAAAGATACATTTCATTTGCATTTTGCAGCTGAGTAAAATGAATATACAAAAATTTGCTGCCGTCTATTTCATAATAATTTGGCATTTTTAAACTTTTAATTATAATAAACTATCCTTTAAAATTTTTCATTGCATATATAATTGATTTTGAAGCATTAAGTGATAATACTCAAGAATAAAACTATATTTAGTTTAATATTTGAAAACATATACTTTAAAATATGGTAATTGATGCAAACCATGTCTAATGCAGGTTAAGTATTTCATAAAGCTTAAATATAATTTATTTAAATCGAAAATCAGAATTTTTCTTGTTGAATTTTAAAAATCAAATTTGATGCTCTTATAATGATTGTTGCATGTTAAGGAAATTTTAAAGAAATTATCATATTTGACTACAACTACATAGTGACTATCATAATATATGCTTGAAAATGAAAATTATTGAAAGAATGGAGAAATGATAGATTTTATTTGAATAAATGAACAAAATAAAATATTTAGCTTATGAAAAGTAGTTATTTTATTCAAGATTTCTTAGTCTCCCTTTTGGACTAGTGGCTTAAAATTAACATTAAACAGATGACAATGTAATTATCCCAAATCTACCAAATTTATCACTGTTTCTTGGTAAAACAATGAAATATTTGTAAATCCTACTGAGGCTTGTTGTTTTTATTACAGGATTTTAATAATTTCAGAGCAGATGGTGGAAGTAATTACTAATAATTTTTATTTTTTTTTCTTTTTGAGATGGAGTCTTGCTCTGTCGCCCAGGCTGGAGTGCAGTGGCGCGATCTAGGCTCACTACAACCTCTGCCTCCTGGGTTCAATCAATTCTCTTGCCTCAGCCTCCCGAGTAGCTGGGATTCCAGGTGCCTGTCACCATGCCTGGCTAATTTTTGTATTTTTAGTAGAGACGGGGTTTCATCATGTTGGCCAGGCTGGTCTCAAATGCCTGACCTCGTGATCTGCGCACCTTGGCCTCCCAAAGTGCTGGGATTACAGGCATGAGCCACTGCTCCCGGCCACTAATAATTTTTTTAATTTATTATTTTATTCATTTATGTAAACATATGAAGGTAGAAACATGTCTTCTATGAGATTATATCTTTTTAAGAGAGATGTGATATTATTAATTGAATACCTACTTTGTGTTTGGCACTGTGTAAGGCATTAGAGGTATAAAGTTGTTTTGTTTTTTAAATGAAAAATATAGCCACTGAGGTCAAATGATACAAAGTTATTTTGTTTGTTAAATAAAAAATATAGCCACTGAACATGGCGAAACCCGGACTCTACTAAAAATACAAAAAATTAGCTGGGCGTGGTGGCGGGCGCCTGTAGTCCCAGCTGCTCGGGCGGCTGAGGCAGGAGAATGGTGTGGACCGGGGAGGCGCAGCTTGCAGTGAGCCAAGATCTCGCCACTGCACTCCAGCCTGGGCAACAGAGCGAGACTCCGTCTCAAAAAAAAAAAAAAAATATATATATATATATATATGTATATATATATACACACACACACATACACACACACACATACATACACACACACACACACATATATATAGCCACTAAGGTCAATGAGTTATACAGTTTTACTAAAAATCTGGAGATTTCAGATTAGCTGTGGTAAAGCAGATAAATCACTGAAAGGTTTGAGCTAAGACATCTCCCAAGTAGATGTATGTATAATCTGTACCATAATTGGTAACATTAAACAACTTGTCATCCTTCTTATATCCCTCAAATCTATACCTGCTTTGTTTCATCATTTCATTCACAGAAAGTGTGAGATTCAACTGGGCAAGCACACAGAGCTTTACAATCCTGTAGGTTTTCACTTTAGTTCCTGCTCTGTCCTTTAATAGGTATGTGAAATTGGGCAATTGGCTTAATCTAAGCCCCAGTCTTTTCATATGTACAATGGGGCAGTAGTACTAATGGAAACCCACAGTTCAGGTATCTTTTTTAAAGTTACAAATCAAACTAATAAACTGTTAATAAGATTTTTACCCTTCTACCATCATAAATACAGTACTTTTGAGATGACTTGATAGGTCATTTTTTTTTTTTTTTTTTGAGCAGCAGCAAGATTTATTGTGGAGAGTGAAAGAACAAAGCTTCCACAGCATGGAAGGAGACCCGAGCGGGTTGCCCGATAGGTCAGATTTTAAATAAAAAATATTGGAACTCATTGGTATCCTATGTCATAGGTAGTGAGTCAAGGAAGTTCAGCCTGAGTCCAGCTCATTCCTCTTTGACACCTAGCACCTGGCACTTTCATGGACCATGTAGGGTCTTAAAAGCACATGTGAGGGTACAGCCAGAACCACCAACCTGCATCTGCAGTCTCCTCCAGCAGCTGCCTCTTGGACATCATGTGGACCTAGAATCGTGCACACACACCCTGGCAACATAGTAAATACTTGGAAGGATGGACACCCCTAAGAGGATTGCCCAAGCCTTGAAAGTAGATGTGGGATATTTTGGACAAAGAGTTTCAAAATAGTTTTACTTAAATCATAGTCTAAAATGCAGAATATGAGCTACAAGGAGGCACATACATTTGATACCTCAGTCTCCTTGCACCTTGGAAAGAGGGACGTGTCCAGAAGACAGAGTGGAGCCTGCTAAAGCATGAGTGCCCCAACTAAAGGGCATGGGTCCCCCCTTATCATGGTCTAAAACTGGTGATTATCATACTTAACTCAATTATGAATGAGATAATGAATGCACAGTGCTTAACATAGAGGATGACACATATTAAATATTTATGAAAGAGCAATTTATTTTAGCACCTGGTTTATGCAGGTGTATGTTCTTCTTGTTTCTGGGTAACTGTCCTTAACCATCCATATGTTTTTGTAACATTGATTTTTTTCCCCACTATTTAGGATATAGTAGAATCAAATTTATTTTTTAAGGCTAGATTTTTATTTTATAAGGAAGCAGGTACAAAAAAATCAATACTCAATATAGTTTTGTGAGCTAAATAAAGCCCCTTACGTACCATTAAAATGTTCTAATTGCCTGCTTAGAGAAAATAAACCATTATCATTCATTCAGAGTATACAACCATGAGATTAGATTTAAAATTCTTCATCAGAACATGCAGAAAGTGCATACTTATTTTTATGTCATACTATTTTCAATTGACCAAGTATTTTCATAACCAATTATTTTTGTTTTGTTTTGTTTTGTTTTTCTGAAACAAGGTTTCACTCTGTTGGCCAGACTGGAGTGCAGTGGTGGGATCACAGTTAACTGTAGCCTCCCACTCCTGAAATCAAGCGATCCTTTCACCTCAGCCTCCCAAGTAGCTGGGACTACAGGCATGCGCCACCACACCCAGCTAATTTTGTATTTTTTGTAGAGACAGGGTCTTGCCTTGTTGCCCAGGCTGGTCTCAAAATTCTGAGCTCAAGCAATCTGCCTGCCTCAGCCTCTCAATGTGCTGCTGGGATTATAGGCACAAGCCACCTCGCCCAGCCTACCAATTATTTTGTTATTGTCAGTTCTTCTTTGGAAAAGAAGTCCTTCCATAATATTTTAATAACAATCATCTTATTTTAGACTATGTTACATTTTATTTTTCTACCCTTAAATATTTTGCAAAGAAAAGAAAACACACTTATTTTACCAGTTAGGTTGGTCTAATAACAATATGTGTTTTTCAATGGCAGACCTATCTTGGTTCTGCTTTATCTTTTCTTCACATAAAGATCCAGATTAATGGAATTCCCTTTCTTCAGAATACTTGTGTTGTCATGGCACAGAAAGATCTGCAAATTGCATACTGGGTTTCTAAAATTTTATTGGCAAAAGAATACACATGACCAAGACTGGGTTTTAAAAGTGCAGAGATATGTCATTCTACTGTATTACCTAATTACAGCCACAGTAAATATAACACACAATACAATTTCATTAAGCATATGCTTCTGTGGATGTACTGGATAATGACTGATCTAGAATGGGCTTGGTTGGAAGGTACTGGATATTGTTATTGGTCCTGGTCAGACCTCAGGAATTCAGGTCTGCTTCCAATATCTTTCTTCTTGAGACATGGGTCTGCCCAGGAGTGTTCTGCTCATAACAAAGGTAGAAGTGCAGTGAGATAAGCAGATATATGAAAGTCTCTCTAACATCTAGACTTGGAACTGACACAGTGACAATTCTTTGTTTTAAAAAAATGACCAAAGCAAGTCATATAGTCAAACAGAAATCCAAGATGAAGAAAAATATACTGTGTCTCTTTAGTAAAAGAAACTGTGACACATAGCAAAAGTCCTGATTACATAGAAGGATGAAAAATTTCAATAATTTTTGCAATCTACTACACCTACCATGTGCCCAACTGAGGACAGTGTACATCTTTGTCAACATTTCTCTACCTGCTATAGTTCTCTGCAGAAGAAAGAAAAAAAATCCATAAAATAAGAAACTTGTTTGCAATTTAAAGAATTAATACTTATATCTTGATACCTAATGTACTTTTTAGATAATTAATAAAAGTAGGTATAATGGGGGAAATTTTATCTTATTTAATATTCCTTTAATTGCAATGGCAGAAAACCCATTTTCATAGGCTTCTGATATGTGATGAACCTATGTTTCATTTGCCCTCCATTGCAATTTCTAAAATGGATCCTATAAAGAATGCCTCTTCTGAGGTCTCATCTTTCAGGGTCTACTCTTCTTCAACAGTTCACTTACTGTTGGTAGTATGCAGATGCAGAGCTTTTTATACAATCTGAGCAACAATTAGTTTCTCTTTCCTCAGCTTGTGGCTTGCCTGATAGTATAATTCTATTAATTGTCGCTTAGTTGCTTTCAGTATTTGTTTCTAATCAGTTCCTTGGGCTTCTAACCAAAGTGAACATGTCAAATCACAGACCGAATGCTGATTGTAGCCAGGGTATTTTGATCTGTCTAGTAATAGGTGCCTTGTCCATCTCTTGATCTCAATTTTATGGCCTCTGCACAAAGGTAATTTGAAACTGTGATCAGAGGGTGGCTTGGCACTGTTAATACCACCTGAATGACCTATTGTATTTCATCATCATTTTTTCCTAAAGAAGGTAGATTTTGTGTGAGACATCAAAAGTTGTGAACAGAAAGCTACCTAGGAAAGATGATCAGCCCCCAAGGATAGCCTATTCTCCAATGTCTCCTTCAAATTTGTCCAAAAATAAAATGGACAATGAAGAGCCTCCTGGTGGAAAAATCCTAGAGCTAATCACAGGGAGTAGAATCTGGGCATTAAAAAGAAACATATTCTGCAACCAGGAGAGAGGGTTCTTAAAACATCTTTCCCAAAATATTTTTAGATTTCTTATGGATTAGTAATTATTAACTTGCATTTTCTGAAGAAAAAGATAAGTATTTATAGAAGATACCCGTCCCTCCTTTACCATTCTATGTTCTCATACTTTAGTTTTTAGGTATCCAGATGAGAAAGAGCCACATCCAGACCTAATGTATATGCTAACTCCAAATCCTTTACTTCAAATCTGAGTCTTGATGGAATAGAAGTTTTATGGCATCTTCCCTATATATGTGTAAATGTGGTTTGCATGCAGAGTTAGGAAATCAATACATGAAAGCTAGATAGCAGACAGTAGATTATTATTTTTGTTTTAATTATTTCCTTCCTTATCGATAAAGAGATTACATATTCCAGGCTGTTCCTACCCTCATTTAAGTAGTGTGCTTCCCTGCCCTGTGGTCATGTGACTTAGGTTTCTAGCCAATAGAATATGAATAGAATTAAGGGATGCCACACCTAATCAGTAGTTTGGAAGAGCCATGACATGGCCCATCCTGGTCCCTTTTCCTTCGGACACACAACCAAAGTAAAAGCTACACCCCTAGACTGGACCCCAGGTTAAAAGTCAAGTGATGTAGAGCTGCACATCTGTAGTCAACATATAGCCAACATGTCACATGAATTAGCTACAAAACTTTTTTTTTTGTTTGCTTTAATTTGAGACAGAGTCTCACTTTTTTGCCAGGCTGGAATGCAGTGGCACAATCTTGGCTCACTGCAACCTCTGCCTCCCGGGTTCAAGCGATTCCCTTGCCTCGGCCTCCCGAGTAGCTGGGACTACAGATGCACACCACTACACCTAGCTAATTTTTGTATGTTTAGTAGAGATGGGGTTTCACCATGTCGGCCAGGCTGGTCTCGATCAACCTCGGGATCCTCCAGCCTCAGCCTCCCAAAGTGCTAGGATTACAGGTATGAGCCACTGTGCCTGGCCTATAAGCCTCTACTAATATATGACATTGAAATGTAGGGGTTATTACTAGACTTACCTAATAAAAACTGACTAACAATCCTTGCCTCTTTAAAAAAATTAAAATCATCTTTGCTAATAGGTGCTACTTTTCAGGAGAACTTGTCTTTTTCTATTAAGACCACACACAAAAAATAACAAATTGAAATTAATGCAAACTTATATCCTCACTTTTTTCTACCAGGTTTTCGAATGCTGCAGCTTCAAGAGTCTGAGTCCCCACACGCTGTAGAAAATATTAGGTTGGTGCAAAAGCAATTGCAGTTTTTACCATTACTTTCAATGACAAAAACCGCAATACTTTTGCACTAACCTAATAGCAAAATAACTGTTTTGTTGCTATATCAAAATAAGTTTCTGTAACAGAAAGAACCTTGCTCCTCCAAACCTACTTACGCTCAGCCAATTTCACATTTTGGCATATGTCACTTACAATTAAAATAATACAAACATATATACTTGGCTAATTGATGTAAAAATATATGACAAATGATATAAAGAATTTAGTGATTACTGAGGAAGCCATATAAGTGATCTAAAAACACTCTCGATTTAAATGTATTAGTCTTCATATTTGTGAAAATTCTTCCATTTTCTTGTCTCTTCTAATTGTAAGTAATTTAATTATCTAAATTCTTTATTCCACTTTCCTACAGTATTAGGTTTTTACTGCTATATGAGGTTTTATATTACTTTGGTCATTCCATCTTTAAGTTTATACTATTATATTTACAGCGAGAGGCAGGAGGCCAATACCCGGGACTTTAAGTAACCTTCAAAAATGGTTCAAGACAATGAGAACACTTGGACACAGGAAGGGGAACATCACGCACTGGGGCCTGTTGTGGGGTGGGGGGAGGGGGGAGGGATAGTACTAGGAGATATACCTAATGTAAATGACTAGTTAATGGGCGCAGCACACCAACATGCCACATGTATACATATGTAACAAACCTGCATATTGTGCACATGTACCCTAGAACTTAAAGTATAATTAAAAAAAGGTTCAATAATGCTGGGGAGACCTGCTCAGAAACCAACACTAATATAAAAAAGAGGAAACTGGTTCCAGGAAAGACCAATAACAAACAAGTGGGACATAGGCATCATTATCAGTCTAAAAATGCAGCAACTAAGTACTTAGGAGTAGTGGATTAGAAAACAGGGATGATGGGATCTTAGAAAAGTTGGGGAACTAAGCAGATTTCAATGATGAGAACTCAGACACAGGTTTAAAAACAAGTAAACAAACAAACACATTTTTAAAACATGGCTGTAAATAGAAATCAAACTGGGAGAATGGGTTTGGGACTAGGGAACGTGGCAAGAGTCTGTAAATAAGGATCAGGTGAAAAATAAAACAGAAATTCATAGCAAGACAGATCAGATGCTACTACTATAAGCTACGATTCTAGAGGTCCTAATATTTTCCCTGCCTAAATAATAGTTCCAGTTTCAAAGATTAAGCAGGCCATTCCAATAATCTCTTCTGCACACAGTTACTGTGTCTTTGTTGATATAATCTACTGTGTGCATATGTGAATGTTGAGAATGTTTGAGCAAATAAATTCATGTTTGATTTGTGTGTGTGTGTCTGTGTATGTCTGTGTGTGTGAGAGAGAGAGGAAAAGAGATGAGCTTTAGTTCCCTCTCCCACCCAATGCATCAAGTCACGCTGTAACAACCCTGACAAATCATATGCCATCTCTAAATTGAGAGCATTCAGAAAGAGTAAGTTTAGAAGCTCTTTTAATTCCTGAATAGTTCTATTTATTAGAAAACAGAACAGTACTTTGTGTCATATCAAAAATTTCTTTCCTGCAACATTTCAGGATACCTTAGTTCTACAGTGGGGGGGAAATATATGTATTTTTTAATATGACAGCTCTTCAAATTTTAAAGATGATTCTCATGTATCTATGTGCCCTGTAAAACATTTTTCTGTGCTAAACAGTTCCATTTTCTTTATAACTCAGTATTATCACGTCACAAACCTTTGGTAACCCAGATACCATTTTGAAAGTTCTACTCAGAGTTAGAACAGTCCAGATGTGGTCAAATTTGTAAATTGTATTTTAAAAGGTTTTTCTTCTTCATTTTGAGTGCTAAGCATAAAAAACTCCAGGCTAAAATTTTGTTTGATTTTTTTTTTTGCAGTCATCACACTATTGATTCTTATTGATCTTGTAATCAATCCATCACTTCTGTCATATAATGCATTAGTTTTCCCACTGAATCACAGACACATGCATTCATTATAGCACTTTCACATTTTATGGTAGGTTTTTATGTATGTCTGTCCTCCCTACTAGTCTCTGAGTTTCTCAAGGATGAGAATTGTCTCTTCTTTGTCTTTGAACTAGGCAGTTAATAAATTAAATGTTTGCTGAATAAATACAAAAAAATGCAAATTTGGGAAGTATACTTTATTTTTTTAAATTGAAGACATTAATAATTGTAGTCATTATAATAGAAAAAAAGTTTTTACTGGAGATGTCCTCTCACCTTAATGTTGACCTTCAAAAAAAACCTTTTTTTTTTTTGAGACAAGGTTTCACTCTTATTGCCCAGGCTGGAGTGTAATGGCATGATTTCGGTTCACTACAACCTCTGCCTCCTGGGTTCAAGTGATTCTCCCACCTCAGGCTCCCACGTAGCTGGGATTACAGTTGACTGCCAACACACCCAGCTAATTTTGTATTTTTAGTAGAGATGGGGTTTCACTATGTTGGTCAGGCTGGTCTCAAACTTCTCACCTCAGGTGATCCACCCACCTTGGCCTCTCAAAGTGCTGGGGTTACAGGCATGAGCCACCACACCTGGCCAAAAATCTTTTATGTAAACTGTTAACAAGTTAAGAATACATTTAGCTAAATCATGCATTGATATAACATACATAATATTCACAAAATCATAAAGATTTTTTTGAAGGGTTGTCTTCTATCTTCCCCACACTAAAATTTTGACAATGCATTGACAAATAGAAAAGAAAACAAAAGTTGCATGATTTCTTTTGAGAAAACATATGCTCATTTCTAGTGTCACGAGATTCTTCAGGTGTTGCTTTGCCAGCTGGAAACCTCTAACCAGCAATGCCTCTTCTTAAGTTTTGCTTGCACATGCTGGGTTTGTTCCACCCATTTGGCCTGGCATGCTTCACTCAGCTCATGCTACCGGTCTGGATCCCATGCCCACCAAGGGAGAGCCAGGTGCTGCGTGACGAGGTGTGTATGAGTGAGCAAGTGCAGGATCCAGCCACTATACATAGCCAGGCACACTGGCTGCTGTGGCTGGGTGGGCAGCTCCAGGCACCAGCCCAGACACTGGCTTCATGCAAAGGTGCAGCTGGACCAAGTGTACTGCAAGTGGCTTCTGCTGCAGGGACCAGCAACTGCAGAGTCCCAAGGGGGTCAGGGATTGTGCTACAGCTCTCTTGCACCCACTGCCCACAGCTCAGTGAGCAGAGGGAGCGTGTTTCAGCTAGTTCAGTCCCATCATCTCACTCTGGCCCACAATTCCCAGGCTGGCCTGGCCCTACCTCAACTTCCTCTCACATGGGGCAGCCACCCAGTGCAGAGGGTGGGAGGTCTATAGTGTTACAGGTCTGGCTGGGTGAATCCCAAGGTCTGGTATCCCAAAAGGGTTGCAGCTGTTCACTTCTGCAGTCCAACAAAGGGAAGTATGTTACCACCCGCAGCTCCGCGAGCTGGCCAGAAAAGTGTACAGACCTTTTTGCACCTGCCATTGCACAGGTCTTGAGTTCTTGTCTCACTGTCCTGGAAGAATGAGGTTACATGAACAACTGGTGTGTGAGCAAGGCAGAGAAGAGTTTTATTGAGTGACAGAACAGTTCTCAGCAGGGAGGAGACCCGAAGTGAGAAGCTGCTACCTGCAGGTGGGTAGTCCCAATGTGTGGCTGAGTCTCAGGTTTTTATGGGCTCAGAATGGAGGAAGTGCATGCTGACTGGTCCATGGGCAAGAAGAATTGCATGCTGATCGGTCCATGGGTGGGCCTAGAAACCACCATTTAATTGGGTGAAAGGTATCAATGAAGTTCTCACTCCAGGTTGTGGATTCTACTGGAAACTGGCAGCCCGGTTTTCATGCTTCAGGCTATCTTTGGTTTGAAGGTCAGGTTTCACCAGACACCTGCTCCTATCTGCCTATGAATTTGTCTGCTGCTAACACTAGTTTGTCTATTTCATCCAATTATCATATTTTTCATTTAATAAACAATTCTAGAATTATGCTAGGGAATAATTACTAGTTAATTTATACTTAATACATTTATGTTTCCTTTATCTATGAAAATTATAGCATCTTTCCTTTTTCTTCTGGATCCTCTACTATTACCTAAGAAGAACAAACACTGTATTTTTGGCTGAATATAGTTTATGTGAAATGGAGAAGTGCCAAATAAAATCAGACAATTTAATTTTTTGTTTTTATTTATCAGGAGAAGGTGTTTGGTCTTTACCTTTGTAGGAAGACTCCAAGTCTCAATATCCTCCAGTATCCATCTGTTTTAACATTTTAATGTAAAAATCATGTTGTGAAATGGCTCAAACAATATTCAAAATAAAGAAAAAGTTGTTGTTGTGTTTCTCTCAGCCATTTTAGCATTTTATACCATGTGCTTCTATAGAAAGGACCTCTCTCGGTTGTTCTTTGTGTTTCAAACAACTTAAAGAGCCAGAAACTTTCTCAATAGTTTATGGCATAAGTATGTCAATATTTCATTTGTATTTTATTCTTCTTTGAACTATTTTCAAAGTTACATATATATGGTGAATATATATACATATAGTTTATTATACCAGTGTATATTCACTTGGTCACTTTCTAATAGGTGAGCATTTGCTATTAACCATCATTACGTTGTGATCTGGGGAAACTGGCTTACTGTAATATTAAGTTCAGAGGTTCTCTTTTCCCCAACAATGAGTGGTGAAGGAAAACAAGGAAAAAATGAATAACTCTGTTACTAGCCTTTCCGAAATGCTTCCTGAAGGGGTTAAGGATGGTAGTGTGACAACTAGACAGGGTCAAGAGTAGAGAATTTTGAAGGAAAACAAGAAAAAAAGAAAGAACTCTGTTACTAGGCTTTCTGAAATGCTTCCTGAAGGGGTTAGGGATGGCAGTGTAACAACTAGACAGGGTCAAGAGCAGAGAATTTTGGTGAAGACCTTTCCAAAGTTCATAGGTTACATGGTCAAGAGATTAATCAGACAAACTTTTTGTAAAATTTAGACTTCATCCCCACAACCAAAACCACTACACACACACACACACACACACACACACACCCCAACACTTCCAGTCTGGCCAAGTGTAGGACTCAACAATTCATGGGGTCTATGGAATATTTGACTTATACATGTAGGCATCTTAAGTGGGGCATGGTATTTATAAAGATAAATACTGAGAAAAGCTGAAATTTCCTGCTAGTGGATGGAAGTGTTGGGAGTACTGCTTGTGATACATACATTGCTACTAATATGGAACGTTTGTCCTCAATGAGAAGTGAAGACTGTGAGACATTATTTATATACCAAAGTATGTAGTTCTGCCTTCAGAAAATCAGATTTAAGTGCTAGAAGACCATAACTGTGATCCCTTCCAGTGTAGCTGTTTATGTCTTTTGGTGACTTTTTGGGACAGGTATTTATGGAACGTTCATCTTGATGACATGTCCACAGAACCACTGACCTCTCTGCATAAATCTTATTTAAGATTTGTCCTATTATCATGGGTACTGTAAACAGGAGCTAAAATAACTTGCTGCTTGCATCCTGGCCAATATTTAGCATCATTTCTTTTCTAACTGCTCTGACCTAAAGCTGCCAATTCTTGTATCTGTTGACCATCTGCTGTGGGTACAGGACTATTGATCCTACCAAGATGATTTGCAGTAATAATTTAAAAGAGGTCTTCAGACACTGTTTTGCTAAGATACACTACCTCGTGAAGACAGATATCTTTATAACTGACTAGCTATGTAAGTCTGTTAATATTTAAAATAGGCATACTAATTATATGTAAAATAGGCATACTAATAATATCTGCTTTATATATTTGCCATTTTAAGGATTTAATGGCATTTAATAAGTTTTCAATAAATGGTACTCATTGTCACTTCTCTGTTACCTCTTATGTTCCTTTTCAAAATTTAACACATTTTTTCCATAGCTGAGAAGCAAGGAGTAAAATAATGTGTTTAGTTGAGTTCAAATGATATGGATTAGAATTGGGGGAGGGAGAAAGTCTTTAAAAATATTTTAAAATAATTTTGCTATTTTCTACTCATATTGTTTAAATCAACACTGATGCTGAATATGTACATGTATATGTTTATTTACTTAAATGTTTTTTAGAGTGTAAACATTTTTAAAGTACATTTTCAGTTTTAGAACACAATTTGAGTTTCTGACATTCTCACCTTGTATAAAGAGTAATAACTGCATATCTCTCTAGATAAACCATTCATTTAATAAACATTTATTGAACACCTACTATGTGCTGAACAAAATAAACATGATCTTTTCTTACATGGATTTTGCTAATAGAGTAGATGGGTAATTATGAAATAATACATATAAAAACAAAACTGCAAAATTGTTTATATTATAGGGAGATAATGATCAGGGTGCTAAAATGTTGTCTGAGAAGAAATCTAATTTGGACTTTGCAGACCAGAAAGTGGGATAGAGTGGGGTGGGAGGGGCTAACAAGAAGAAAACTGCAAGATTATATGCTATAGGCGTTGTTAGCTGTGCCTATACTCAATGTTATGAAGTAATTCTATTGTGATGAAAATGAAATCTTTTCACAAATTATTTATTGTGGGACTACAGTTATTGAAGTCCAACTGTATGTGTGTTTTGGATGTATGAAGATAGAAGTGAGAATGGAAAGGGGAGGTTTTATTATTGCTTAACATTTAGAAACTTTAGAGAATTTAGTAATACTTAAGTTGTTTCTCTCTGTGCCTTGGTAAATGAAAGCATTATTTATCAACAGTACAAGGATTAATTGGCAATTTTTTGTTAAATGTTTTGAATAGCTGATTAGTGCTGACATCATTATTTATGATAGTCTTGGTAAAATCAATTTGAAATCTTGGGCTTTGTTCCCAATGGAGTTGCTACAGGATCTAAAACTTTCTCACAGTTTCTATGAATACACCGTTCTCGGCTGGCAGGTCACCTGTCTTTTATAATTAATGTCAGAAAAGTAATAAAACAAAATGATGAGTTTTGCACCTGATATAACTTATCTTCTGTCAGGTCTTTTCTCAAATCTTTCATTGCTCTTTATCTTCACTGGATGTACTTTCAACATTTGGTTTAATGTTGTATTGCTTTAAAGAAAATCTCTTTAGCCATTTGATTCTATTTTCTTGCATTGTGCTTTGGTATCATTGAACAACATTCTCTTAATTAAGAAATAATTAAATTCAGATTTCACTTACAAATACCCACTTCTTATCTCTTCCTGTACTTCGCTCAAGAAGACAATCTGTTGGAACAGCTGTGTGAACCAAAAAATAGTCTTTGTACTTGGAAGCTAAACTGTTTTAACTGCAATAGAAGTTGCATTACAATTGCCAATACCCAGAAGGACATTTTGTTTCATGGTCTTATCTATTTTATATCTCTTTGAGTAGCAGGAGATCTCAACAACCCTCTGCGAGGCCTCATTTCCATATTGCCAGCATTTCATTTCTTACAAGCTTTAGAAAATCAGCAAATAAAACAGAGCTAAGTTCAAAATAACAAGGTGAGAATGTAAACTAAAGAATACAAAAATGGGCTGGGTGCAGTGGCTCATGCCTGTAATCCCAGAATTTTGGGAGACGGAGATGGGCGGATCACTCGAGGTCAGGAGTTCGAGACCAGCCTAGTCAAAATGGTGAAACCCCGTCTCTACTAAAAATACAAAAATTTGCCAGGCATAGTGTCCCATGCCTGTAGTCCCAGCTACTCACAGGGCTGAGGCAGGAGAATTGCTTGACCTTGGGAGGTGGAGGTTGAAGTGAGCCGAGATTATGCCACTGTACTACAGGCTGGGGCAACAGAGCACAAACCTGTCTCAAAAAAAAAAAAAAATAGAAATACATTGCCTGAGAAATAGATATATTTGCTGAGAAAACAGGATATACCTAATGTAAGTAGTGAAAAAATAGAATACTTTAAATGTATGAAATAATATACAAATCTCTTGATGAATTTTATGTAATTTTCATTTTTCAGTGGAGATTCCACATTCTTCAAATGAATAATATTCAAAAGAAAGAGGAAAAAAGAAAAAAAGACATCACAATTCAGTAAAAATCAAGCCCTAATCTCTCATTTAGTTGAAAAAGGGATGCAAGTCAAAGAAAATATGAACACCTAGAAAGAAAATTAGTCATGGACATTTATCTTATTAACATGAGATTTTAAATTCTTACAATGATGTTGTGGGTTGCAGTTTATATTTGAATCTTAGCAAGATGTTGTATAAGCTGTGTGAAATGGGTAGATTTGGGTAAAATGTATATCCAGTGCTAGAAATAAGAAATGCCGTAAATTATATCAATAATTAATACCTTTCTTGGTGACTCACATGGCCCAGAGCATATTGACTTCCTCTAACATATTTTTTTAATTAGAAGAGTAGAGATTAATGTAGATAAATAAGCATTTGCTTTTGTAATGAGTCACAGTCATGTTGATCCAATGGCTTGTAAAAATCTATGCGCTAGCTGTCATTTGATACAATATCTTTTCAAATTAAAATTGTATCTAAATTAAGTCTTCCAGTGGAGAAAACTATACCTGATAGTAGTGTTCAGAGAAGAAAGCCATGACTATTCATATGGACTTAAGGTTTATATTTTATCATTTCACTCTTTATATCCTTCTCAATTAACTTTGCCGACAATATTCAGTATATATTGAACATTATAATATGAAATCATTTATACTCCTGAATATATCATTCCCTATATACATTTAATTCCTTTTTTTCAAAGACATATGCTATGTATTCCCAACTAGTCTGTAAGCATTTTAACCTCAGCATTTATACAATTTATTTTGTTTGTATCACCTTCAATAATATTTTGGAACTGGAATGCACCTAGCACATATTATTGACTGACCAAAGTGATATTTTAAAATTTTTGAGAATTGCCATAAGCTCTAGTTACATATTTTTATTAAGATGTATATTCAGTTGTTAGAGGAAACAAGAATACCTGAAGATCACGTCAATGTCATTTTCATACAAGAAATATGAATATCTTATAGCAAAACTGCTTCAATTGCTTGAGTTCATTTAGATACATGTAATTCCTGTTTTTTGAAAAAACAGTGATGTTCTAATTGAGAGAGTAAAAAGACAATTTGTTTAGGAATAAGTTAAATAACAAATAAAAATGCATATTCTAAGTTGTATACTCTTAGTTATTAACATTGCCTGGAGGGACCTTTTGTTTTTAACAATGAATTAATTGATGCCTATCATAGCCATATCTCAGCAGAGTGCCAAACTTGGTCAGTGACTGTCAATCTGAATTCTGCTGTGTAGTCAATTGGATGTGTTCAGGAGTTACTCACTACCAACTGCCATTAGCCCTTTGAGTTATATCTCTCAAGGCATAATTTCTCAAGGCATAATTCTTCTGCCAGTGCTCCAGATGGAAGTCCATTTAATCACAATGTATCTTATAATTATCACAACTGACACTTTGACATTCCATTTTGGCCTGCAAGATTGACCCAGCTGTACACTATATTATCTTTCCAGAATATCTTTTCTAATTTTTGTGACATGGAAAAATAGCATCTCCAGATTCTTTATCTCACTGTGTGCTTGACAAATAATATTCTAACATCTGATGCTTTGCTGTAAAAAGCAGGTACAGGCATGATAGCAGGTTCAATCAAGCCAGCTACCAATTACTCTCGACTGGATTCTAGATCCTAGAACAATTTTGGTGCTAATGAATGGGCACAGACTGACAGGCTTGGAAGCTGAAGCTGTGCCCCCAACCCCAGAAACATGAAAAATCAAGCTTGACCATTATCCCGGCAAAGATCACAATGTGCTCATTACAGATATGCCATATTTTTAGCAAGAAATCACTGTCTATCACATCACACATCAGAAAAAGTAATAAAGCTATTTAGCCACATGGTACTATAGAATAGATTAAACTGATTACAATTTCATTCACTATAAAGACAATGATAACTTATTTAATATACAGGGGTATATTACATACCCTGCGTCTTCATAAGACCCTGATAGACACTTCCCCTAAAGAGAGGTAGCCCTCAGTTAGAAATTGAGAAAGTTCTGTGGTACTTGTAAGCTAACAAGTAATCCTGCTACAGTGCCATTGATGCTGGCAGAGAACATAAAATGTCTGAGTCAGAGACAAAGGACTTTATTTTTTATTTCACTGCAAAGGAACCAATGCATGTTAAGGTTTGCATTAGTTTCTTCCTCCCAACTCTGACCCTGCCCAGGACCCATGAAAGTTATACAGAACAAACCTGATAAATACCGTGTAGACATCCTCAGAAAGGTATTCTGAGGCAAAAGTGGTCACAAGATATGTAGAAATACAATGAAGAATTGGCCCTCAATGCCATCTTATTTTAAAAATTTTCAGTGGGCAGTAGATTTCTTAAAGCTCCTTACACTATGCAAATATAATAGACTATCTCCCACATGTTCTTTGAGCACTTAAAAAAGTCCTTATCACTTTCTTCCCTTCATTTCTTTCACTTTTCACTTCTTTTTAAATACTTTCTTATTTCTCTTTTTTCTTCCCTTCCCCTACTTCTCTTCTTCCTCCTCCTCCTCCTTTTTCTTCTTTATTGTGTGTGTGATATTAATGTTTATGTAATTTAATTACATTGCTTTGTATGAGGTAAATTTGTATGTTAGAAAGAGCACAAGAATGGAGAAATAGATTAGATATATGATAGATAGATAGATCTAGACATATGGATATAGATCTAGATATAAATTAGATATATAGAGATATAGATTAGATATAGATATGCAGGATATAGTTTAAGGTTATTTCTTTTTTTTTTTTACCTGAGCTTTCTTGGAAAAGTTATAAATATTCTATGCTTCATTTTTTAAATCTGTAATTCAAGTTTGACCAGGAAATCTCTTTTATTTGTTTCAGTTCTAGATATTTGAGGGATTTTTTTTCTTCTGTGTAGCAGAGAAATAAAGCATCTTGGTAAATGAGATATTTTAATAAGGGATATTTCATCAGTTTTGTTTGGTACAATTTTAGAGAATGCTATGTATCTGAACAAAATACAGAATTAATACAACATGTTTAGCCTAGGCATTGGAAGAATATAAAATGTGATTTTAACTAAATATTTCTGTTTATCTTTCTCACAACTTTTTGGTTTTCTCTTGTTTTATCATTAACTATTTCTGAACTTCCTCTAGTTTTCATTATTGTGTTCAAGATTTGCCTGGTCAGCTATAGTAAATGATCCTGGCTTTTTAATAAAATGAACAGCAAGGAGAAAAAAACTATAGTTAAATTTTTAAATTTTTCCCCTTCATTTCATACTCTCCTACTTTTTATTTCTCTATATTTATGATCTCTCAGCATCATAAAATTAAATTTTGAGAAAAATAAATTAATACCTTAAAATTAGGAAAAGAAACCAGAAATAAATGGACATAATGCAATAAGAGGAAGAAAAATGTCCACATAAAATTAGAAGAGAATATTTTATTTTATTTCCAATATTAATATGTGGATATAGAAAAATCTTTAAATTTAGCAGCCTAAGGAAAGAGTTGGTTGGACAAAAATGGATTTGAAGATGGAAAAAGAAGACACTGTTTTTAGTTATCACATTTTTGTCTTTTAATTCTGACCCTGGATAGGTATGGGAGCATTAAAAGTTGGGGAATTCATTCAGAAAATAAAATCGACAGGAATTTCAGATTATTAGTGGTTGTTCAAAGTAATGATAGGAATTCTTATAGAAAATTTGGAAACATTTCAAGGCACTTTCTTGACAAATTTTAGTAAATGAAGTGAAAAAAAATTGTGCCCTTTCACTTCTGAAATTCTTTGTGTGGAAAAAAAGACTTTATTTGCTTTCTCCATTCTTAGGATCCATATGTATTATTTCTTCCCAGATAATTTCATATTTGATACCTAAAAGAAGCCTTAGGTTAAGGAAACAAGCTAGGTACATGCACTTACATCAGTTTCCTTACTCTACATTCATATTCGTTTTTTCCACATTCTTGCACTCTGACCTATGTAGTTCTCTTATCTCTGAGATGCTCTTGCTTCTCTTTATTCAAAATCTAACCATCCTGCAGAGTTCATTTCCTCCTGAAGACATGACTTAGCACTTTTACATTTTACTAATTGGCCTTTTACTTAGAGGTCTTACCCTTCACTGAGTAGCACAGTACAGAAATATTGAGTGGTATCATAGAGTATACTAGTATACACTAATAGCAAACTGAGGTTACTGAAATACACAATTGTAATCTCTTTTCAATTTTCTTATACCATCTCTTCAACTAGATTATAAATATATTGGGTAGGGCATATTATGTTGATTCTAGTATACTGCTGAGCAATTTAGAATTAGTTTATAGAATAGACTAACTGTAGTTCTAGTACAGCATCTGATACTTTTTCAATACATATTAATTTTCCTAAACGTATTTTATTTATATTCCAAATACATATATTTTTACTTAAATATAATTTTTTAAAATATTATTGAAACTGAGAAAGATTGACACATTTGATAAAACAAAATAACTCATCAACAAGAATGCTTAATTAAGAGAATTATTTCTACCTATTCCAGCTCTTCTGAGTCCAATAAATCACATAGGATTTCTTTTTAATATTTCTCTGCCTTATAACTAGTATGATAAATTTTATTTTACCTAAAGACCAAATTCCCAGTGATGTACATGAATTAATTCAGGAACATCTGCCTGCTTATAGATAACAAGCTTCTTTTATATCTCAGCATTATGAAAGTGTTAACTGGTGAAATGATATTATTTCTTAGTATCAATTTAAATACAAGTGTTCTTTGAAAAAATCTATTTCCCTTTCCACTTTATTCCAACTTATTACGTTGGAATATTTCAGGGCAATCTTTCATTTAATTTGAATAAAAAATGAACAATAATTTTGCAAGTTTTGGCCATTTGTCTAGAAGTTACTGAAAAACTTTAACCAGATATGCCTTATGGCCAATCAACATTATTACAATTGCTTTAAATTATTTAAACTGTAAATTTAAAAGAAAAGAACAGCTGGATAGTTTCACTGTGACAAAGTGAAGAGTTTTTAATATCACTTTTGAAAACACAGTTGTATTGCTTCAATGTGTATAATAATTTTCTAAATTTGTCAGTGTACGTTCAGAAACTGATTTGATACTAATAAATATGTTTTCTGAATCAGCTTTCTCAAAGGTGAATCCTGTGTTATGTTAAATATTGCATTATTAAGAAGGAAAAAATCAATAAAAAGTTGATATGTAAATTTTTTTCTAATTTTTAATTTAGCTTCATTCTCATGCAACATACCTAATAAAGTAAATCTATAATGAATGGGAAACAAGGAATAAATACAGTAGACCAGATATAAGGTATGTTGAAACAATAGACCTTTAAAAAAGGCAACTAAAAAGTAGAGTGTTCCAGTTGGCACTTCTAATTATTTTTCAGGCTCTTAATGTACAATATACTTTTTATTTATTTGTTAGTAACGAATTATAATGAAAACAATAACAAATGTGTTTTTCTTAAACTAATATGAATACACTGAGGAACTAAAGAATGAAATATCCATTATTGGAGAAGTTTACTGTCCCATGAGAATTTAGTTGAACTCATACTGAAAGGCTGAAGAGTGAAATGTATCCCATTTATCCATCACAAATATGTTGCTCAGTCCAGTTGCGATTTCTGCGTATTTGGCATGCTGGTCATAATGTGCCAAGTTTACGTTCTCAGTCATCAAACCAACTTCAAACAGACAGAGGTGAGACATTCTTTAAACTGTGAATCTGACTTTAAATTGTGGATTCAAAAACAGTGGGATGCTCATTCTACTTTCATTTGTACTAAGTTTGACCCTTTCAAATGATGGCCACTAATTATTCCACTTACATGGAATAGTTGCAGCTTTTCCTTCCCGTAGGCAGCTGAGATATGTGTGTTCTGTCTGGACTGCTGCCCCACTGACAGCAAGCTGTTCATCAGCCAACAGCCTGATGCTTGTACAGTGAATAACTAAGAAGGGAAGGTAAATGCATTAGTGGACTACTTGACAGAAACTGAAGTGGTAATATAGAGCCCTGTTGACAGACACGTCTTTTCCCAGTCCCTTCTGTTTTCGAGGTAGAACTGGGACGTTTTCCAAAATATCGTTCAAGCAATGAGGTGTTAAAACTATCTCACTGGGCAGGGATCTCCAGTTTGAAACATTGCCACCAGGCCCATTCAATTGGCTTCTAATACAAATGGCTATGTGACATACAAAATAAGAAAGTAAAGGGAAATGCCATTTGGGTCTGAGTAAATTGAGTAAATGTGTAGTTTCCAAAAATCTATTCATGAGCAACACTCATTCCACTGTAGACTTACTGGATCATTTCTAGGTTCAAGAACTGCATGGACAGCAATGAATAGCCAAATAAAGCATGAAACCCAAAATGGAATTGGGGTTAATTATACATAAAATTTTATATGATGTTAACACATGTGCTAAGTTTTCACACTTTGGGATATTATCCCCAAGTGGTTTATAAAACTGATTTTAAGTGATTGACATTATTCCCCTCTAACCCAATGAGAAATTTCATGATTTGATTTCATGATACCCCAAATAACCATAAAGGGGGTTAAGCATTTGGCAGTTTCTCCTCTAACACTTTGTAGTTAGGATACAATGTTCCAATTTACAACTGGCTGTTATTATATTCTCATGCTGCCTATATCTGTTTGGGAACTGGAGAGAAGGCAGTCATTGGAATATATGAGACTATTTGGTTTAGATTTATTATATAGATGTATGCTGCTAATAACTCTTACATATTATTGATGTATGTACTGTACAAGTCTTATTTTTTTAACAACTTAAAGTAGGATTTCCCAATGCAGAATTGAAATCATTTAGGTGATTGTTAAAAACAAAAACATAAGCCACACCTGGACTGATTAAATTTACATCTTTGGGTGTAGGTATTGAGGACCTTAATTTTGAACCATGTCTTGGATAAAGCTTGATACTCTAATGTGTGAGATTAAATAGAGGTTTAGTGTAATTGCAGAGAGTCAAGTAAGGTTATTTAGCTAAATTAAAATTGCTGCTGCTTAATTTGAACCAAGAACATTGCATTAGCCACCATAGAATTTTTTTCCTATATCGAAACAGAACATATGTAGATTTTTTATAAGGTGGAGCTAAATTGATCAACTCTTTAAGAATAGAGGATTAGATTTGGTAGGAAAAAGAGGTGATAAAAATTCAGATTACATATTCCTGTGGTAGAAAGATTTCATTTCTGCAGCTTAAAACTGGTGCTGATGGACTGCTCGCTGAAGCTCATGAAAGGTCTCCCTGAGAACTTGTGCAAAACTGCGAGAAATACTTTTTCATTTTCAAGCAATTTTAGAGATTCTCTGTAATTCACATCTATGCCTATCATTGAGCGATTGGATTTCCTGTATTAGGATATGAAATGGGTGCAGCTATTAGCATATTCTGACTGCCTGAATCTGTAAAGTGAGGATATGCAAATGAACAGCAGGCACTGGGTTATTCCAGGTGAAGAGTTTTCTTTTTTATATGCAAAGTTCTCTAATTACCAGTTTTATATTCAAACTGAAATGCATTTCTAAGTATATTTTATGCTAATGGCATCTAGATTAATTTTTCACTCAAGAAAATCAACTGAGTGAATATTGCACAAATTTAAAAGCATTCCTTAGAGTAAAGCAATTGAATCAATGTCTTTCTCTCCTAGACCACCATTCTGTAACATGCCATCATGAGAATCAGAATGTTGAGGAGTCTTCATCGAGGTAAGAGCAGAGACCAAAAGATTTCTTGGTAACGGCAATCTTGGGATGCCTAAGGAAACCAGTGTGGCTTTCCTGCATGAGCATGGAAATGCAAGGGAATTAATGTTCCACAAGCACCCCCTGAATAAAAGGGGACAGGAGTTACAGATTCATCTTCTGTTGCTGGTACAGATAGTTTTGAGGTTTGTGCCAAGTCTTCTTAAGTTTGAATGGCAGTGAACCCATTGCCCCCCAGCAGTGTACTGCTTTCCCTTAAATGCATCCTTCATTCTTCATAGTTCCCCATTCTTTGTTTCTGATATTTCTTCCCCAAATAAAGTAACCTCAAGCACATTATTTTTATTCTCAACACACAAAATACCTGCCTTATATTATCTTCTTCACCTTTACACCTGCACTTAAATCTTAGAAGTCTTTCATTTACATATTTCTCTTTTTACTTCCCCCCTAAATTTAATAATAAATATTATTTAAATACAAACATAATATCTTAGTGTGAGTTACTATTACAATTAGATGAAAATTATGTTCACTGTATCATGGCAAAGAAATACAAGACAAAGACATGCACATTATTATGACATATTGTGATTACTTTCTAATATATTAGATTTGGTTAATGACAATGTCTATTTGGATTTTCTGTCTTTGATTATATAGAATAAGAGGGCAGAAAATACATATATTCTTTTCTGAAGCTCTATTCTAACATTTGAGATATTTAACATAGAATAAATGATGTCAAAGTTTCAGATACAAAAAATGGTAGAAAAAATTGTATGCACCTATTAACACACTGACACCTTGCTACCTACTATGAAACTATATAAAGAATGTCCAGCCTTATGAATCTGGTAACATGCCTGTTGGCACACCAAAAGCTCTTTACAATGGCAAAGTATAAACTTGCATTTCTAGCCTGTGAGGAAGGCAGTTTGATTTTCCAGGGATCTTGATTATCTGAGTCCCCGCTAGGAATACAGTTAGGTTTAGTGGGTGGTTGGGTACATTTCATAAGATAAATTCATTTCAACATTTCTGGCAGCCTGAATCTTTGCATTCGTCATCTACATTGTGAAAGAAAAAGAAATTAACAAATTACTTTTAAAGATTGAATTGGCTTATATTAGCAATTCATTACAAAATAGACAGGGGCTCTGCTGGGCCTGGTAGAATAGTCAATTTTGGTAAAGAGGCTTTTGCAAGAACAAGGAAACAGCTTAGTACAGGAAGCAGATTTGTGAATACCAAGTTACTTCACGTTACTTTCGTTCTATGGGTTAAAGCAGAGAGGACTTCTTTAACATGCTGACTGGGGTTGACTGAGGCCCTTTTGATTGGTTGCCGTGACTCTTCTGTTTTCTGAAAAACTGGCCTGTTTTTAAGTTCAGTTTGATTATGTGAAACCCAGCATGAGTAACTCCATTCTGGTTTGGTCCACTGATGCCTAGTATAGAAGCTCAGTTCAACCAATGGCCTCCTGTAAATGTTATTTAACAACATTACATTATGAAATTTTAGTGTATCAACGTTGTTTTTCATAGGCCACCAGAGTCTGTATTTATTTTAAAATTCTGAAAAATAAATAAATAAATAAATATTAAAATAAAGTAGAGCTATTCACACCTGATAGAATTTAAACCCTGGCTCTAGAATGTTTGGTAAATGTACATATTTGGATTCATTTAGCCTGAATAAAAATGAAATTATTATTTTTCTGGTCTTCAGAATTCATTCATAGCTATATATATGTTTTGATTGATATAAATTCCAGGTGTGTCTTTTTCTCCAATATTTAACTTAATAATTGGCCTCCTGGGTTATGGAGGCCATCATTTCTAGCTATGAAAGTTAATAAAGGTGTTGGGTGGGAAGTGAGAAGTAGCTTTCCAAGCAGACTAATGGCATCAAGGGATGTCATGACAGTGTCATGAAGCAAAGGAGAATCAGCATCATCAGCCAGGGGAAGAGGTGCTGTTTTTGTTGGTGGAGGAGAAGTAGGAAGGCTTAAGGCTGAGAACACTGAGTGGAAAGAACAGTTCCATATGCCCTATTGCAAATCAGAGGGCCCCACTCTTTGCCTATCAATGCCTTCTTCATCATAAAAGAGATTTGGTGAGGCTATGATCCCAATTACGTTGAAATTAAAATTTTCAACATGACCTTTGAGCATCTCAGTTATTCAATTTTAGTTAACATTCTTTTACACTAATAAAAAAATTATCTATTCTATGAGTTCCTTCAACTAAAATTTTGGATATTGAGCTCATAATTCTCAATTTTTAACACAACTTCAGAAACAACTCCTTAATTCTTATATTCCTTATGCAAATCATAATGTCATCAAAGCATGTTCTTCCATGGGCATTTCTTTCCAGAGAAACCAGGAAATACTTTAATTAATTGTTCTGCCACTTTATTCCATGTACTGATTAAAGTCCAATTGTATAGTTGTAGCCACCACCTCAGGGCTCTTGGAGCATCCAGGTCTCATATTCATTTTCAGATTCTCATTTTCTTTTGGATCTCTCATCAGAAACCACTTTAAGGACCAATTTTCATATCAGTAAGAGTATCTACTTAAAAAAAAAAAAGAAAGAAAGAAGAAGAAGAAATGGGTAGACCAAAGAACTCCTTAGGAAAAAATTGCCAAAACAAAATATTTGGGTTCCCTCTAACAAAAATTTCATGTTGTCATCTTTTGACATCAACAGTGCAATTTTTATAGACAATAAAGTGCCCACTGACATTATTCAGGACTGGGATCCAGAAGTTACACTGCCGCTACCCCTGAGAATTTAGAAACGTATCCACCCATACACAACAAAAGATAAATTCCCCTCTACTTTCTCATTTTCCTCTCTCCAAATTGTAAACTTGCACAAATGACTCTGATTGGTGGAAGTTAGAATATATGCCTACACTCTGGCGGTAAGGAAGCCTTGAAGAGTCAATTTTAATTTTACTTTAAAGTTGAAGGGCTCATATGGTAGGCTGAATAATGTTGTGGCTCCTCAAAAGATATTCACATTCTAATTCCCGGAATCTATGAATATGTTATCTCACATATCAAAAGGGACTTTACAGTTGTGTGTCAGAGAGAGAGAGAGAGAGAATGAGAAGGAGAGAGAGAGATAAAGAGATATAAGAATGGAAAGAGAGTTCAGAGAGGACTGAAGGAGCCATGTGCAGACTTGGAAGATAGAGGAAGGAGTCATGAGCCAAGGAACACAAGGGACCTCTGGAATCTAGAAAAGGCAAGGAAATGAATTTTATCCTAGAACCTCCAGAAGGAATGCAGCCATGCCGACTCATTTTAGATTTCTGGCCTCCAGAACAGGAGCAGAGTACATTTGTGTCACTTCAAGCCACTGCATTTGTGGTAATGTGCTACAGAAGCATAGGAAACAAATTCCATTTACAACATGGACATTTTGTAAATGCCGTAAGGGTGTTCAAATATATTTAACAATTATAAACAGAGCAAATATCCACTACATGTAAGAGTAATAGACATATTTAAATAGAAAAGAGATAACAATGTTTCTTTAAAAACATTCCCAGCTACTGATATATGCAACATCATGGAGAAATCACAAAATAATTATGTTGTGTGGAGTCAGGCAGACAAGAGTACATGCTCTCTAAATCAACTTATTATTTCTACTTATGATATAAGTTGTAATCCTTAGAAAACAGGTCAGTGGGTAACTGAGGATGGAGTAGAAAGGAGAGTGGGCGGAGCATGAAGGAGGGATTACAAACACTTTGGGGGTGATGGGTACAGTTATTATCTTGATTGTGGTGATAGTTCCACAGGTGATTTCACATCAAAACACCAAATTTTGCACCTTAAATGTGCAGTGTTAATAGTTAAAAAGACATTCTGACTACTATGTAGAAAATGTTGTATAGGAAGGCAATAGTATAAATGGGAAGTGAATCAGTTAGAGATAAATTATGGTGATTAAGACGAAAGAGGATTGTGGCCTAAATCAAGGCTGCTGATGATAGTAAAAATAGAAAGTATGCATAAATTCAATATATACAGACACTCTCTGGCTTAGGATGGCTTAATATAGGATTTTTGGCTTTATAATGTTTATTTTTGAAGTATTAAATATACTTTGACTTTTTTACTTATGATGGGTTTCTACAGACACAACCTCATTATAATTCAAGAAGCATCTGTATTGACAAATAGCCAATGGGACTTGCTGATATTTTGGGCATGCAGATAAGGGATATAAAGACATCAAAAAGAGACATCTACATTTCAAGCTTGATCCCCAAGATAAGGAAGACCAGATGGAAAATATCTGGGGTAGATGAGTGCAATCAAATATGCCAACTTGGCCATAGTAAACTTGAGATGGCTATGGAACATCTAAGTGGAGATACCAAGCACGAAATGTGGCCTGAAGTGTGGAGCATGGAGAAGTGACCAGGTTGAAATTATAAATTTGGAAGTCAGTGATGCATAGAAAATACTTGAAGCTATGAGAATATGGAAGCAGAATTAAAAAGAAAAGCATCTCTGTTAAGAAAAATATATCAAGATACAGACTCAACTTGGGAAGATCATAAAGCAAGCCGTAATATACAAGGCCTTGACACAATAACAACAAGGGAAATTTAAAGGGTAGAGAGGAGCCAAGATGTACTGAGAAATATTATCCATTCATTTCTTTACAAATGAATATTCAACACAATAGAAATACATGAATAAACAAGACAGCTGTAGTTCATACTTGTAGGGAGGATATATTCCAGTAATCATTATAAAATCTAGAAATATATATTAAAAAACAAATGTAATATGCAATGCCAGTTATCTGGCAATTGGCTATATAACTTATGATTCATTATATATCCACTTATGTGAGATAAAGATACAATTTGAAAAATTCTTCTAGCATTACTCTTCTCAAATATATTAAATATTTTTCTCATAAAATAAAAATCAGTCTCACAAAAACTAATGGAAAAGTTAAAGATTATACTTAACTAAAATAGCAATACCTGGATATAAATTTTTATTTGACTTCTGAGTTTATTTTATGGTCTAGGAACTAAAGAAAAAAAAGTATGTTTGTATCCAAATAATATCAAATGAACAGAACTCATTATTTTGAATATATGTGATCCAAAGATCTGATAACGCACATTTATTTTCTCTTCAACTTATTTTTTGTTATTTTAAGGAAAAATCAAGGTTTTAACACAGAATGCAAATAAATACAAGTAAAACAGTAAATCATAATATTAGTACAACATATATTAAAAGAAGATTCAACAAAATCAGTGTTTTTAATTTAACCCTACATTTTTTAAAAAATAGTACTTTGCATCTGACATTGAATGTAAATATTCCCAGTATCCTCATTACCTAATTTTTTTGTTGTGTTAGCCAAAAAATATTAACATATCCACTGTTATGTCAAGATATGACTCCAATTTTTTGGACTTGAATAGTTTTTTTCAGTGTGGGACCTATATTTCCTGCTGGGCTGCAAAATAATTCAAGAATGAAAGTCCTTTCGTACATTCTTATAAATAAATAACATAGATTCTTACAAATAAATAACAGATAACTACATGGATTTCAATTTTGTGTATAAGTAAGGGCTATTTGCTATTCGTCTATTAAGCAAGCCAATAAGGGTTTTTTAAACTTGTTATCCATACACAAAATTTGCATGTTACTGGAGTTTCCTGAAGTTCCTAACCAGTATCTTTCCAAGGAGTCTGGTCACTACTTTGAAAAGTATTTCTTGTACATATCTCAGTTAAGTCAGATTATTCAGAAGGAGCTCAGTTATGTGTGCATTATTTTAAGTTGGCCATGGTTGTCTAATTTTTCTTCACGTGTCTTAAATGTACTTTTAAGGATTACATTAGGTTTTTTGCTTTTGGTTGTTTTCTGTTATATTTTTACATGTTCCATTTTAACATTTCAACAATTGTATTGATATTGTCCAATACATGACGGCATTGCTATTTTTTATTGTTTTTATTTTGTTTGCAAAGCATCTTCTTTTTTTTTGTGGTTTCTTTTGCCCTCTCTAAGGAGGCCATGGTCAAAATTTCTCTTGAGTGGAAACAGTATGTATAAAAGACTCAGATTTCCCTGCCAACTATGACCTTTTATATTTAAAATAGAAAGAACCAGTACCTGCTAATACCAATAGTAGAATATGAGGTCATGTACAGTTTTGTCTTTAGTTGCTGCTGTTACCAACCCCAAATTCAAGTTCATTTCTTTGTAGTCAAAGCAACGAGAATATAAATTACAGGAGGCTGAATGTTCACTCTTTGTAGTTTTTTAAGTGTGAATCCAGTTACATAAGCTCTCCAATGGCTTTTCTTCACAAGGAGTAAAATGTCTAAAACCCTCGTTAGTGGCAAGGTCGTGTGCAAGATCTTCCATAACATGAAACTATGTGACTCTTGTACTTACTTCACCACCTATGACTCTTCTGCCTTTTTCTCTCTGTTGCAGCCATATTAGGCATCTACTTTTCCAAAAATATGCAAAGCATCTTTCTGCCTCAATGTTACTGATCTTGCTATCCCCTCTTCCAAACAGGCCCTTCTCCATTATATTCACGTGGCTTGACTCCAACTTCTTGGGTTACTGCTACAATGTTCCCTCTTCTAAGTGAACTTTCTTGACTGCTATCAAAAAGAGTGCCTTCCCTCCGGAGAATGGCGTGAACCCGGGAGGCGGAGCTTGCAGTGAGCCAAGATTGCGCCACTGCACTCCAGCCTGGGCGACTCAGCGAGACTCTTGTCTCAGGAAAAAAAAAAAAAAAAAAAAAAAGAGTGACTTCCCTGTCATATTGTATCCCCATATCCTGCTTGCCATTTTTTCATAGTCCTGATCCCTACTTAAATATTGGCATATTTTTATTGTCCTTCTCACTAAAATGTAACACCCTGAGGGCAGGGCCTTTTACAGCACAGTGCCCAGGACAGTAAAAGGCACTTATGAAGCCTGAGCTCAATGAAAGAAAATATCTACTGGTTAGCACCTGGTACATTGCATGATATTAAGAAATATTTACAAATTGTTAAAGGCACTAAATTTGTCTGCCTTTGTCTATCTGTGTCTGGAAGATATTCACAGAGCCCGTCCATTGCCCCTCATGCTTCATTTGAAAGAATAATAGCCTGTTACACTTAAAATCATTGTATGCAACCCATACTAAGACCCTCCTAGGTCAGTCCCTATTATTAGATGGGGATGTATTTAGTGAGCAACACCTTTAAAAGAAAAAAAAAGCGGACCCACCCTTGCTCAGCTCCCTTAAAAATAAATTATGCTGTATATTGTTGAAAAGTGATTTTATTTCTGGTTCAACTCATTCTGTACTGACTTCCCTGAAGGTCAGACTGGTCTTTTTTTTAAAGATATTCTCAATCCCTGATATCGATACTTCTGAGAGTATGGCTCCATTTTAATATCAGCTCATGTGAATATCAAATGAGTGTGCATAAGCTTTTCCCACAGCAGAGTTTTGACATTAAGAAAATTAAAATATGCCCTAATCATAGAGTGTTTTAACTGTTGTCTGACATTTTAAAGGATTTTCTCATGAATTTCAGAATAGATTATACTCCTGTCTGGCTTCTTAGGTATAAAAAATAATCTTCTAAGTGATTTAAACTTTATTTCTAATTTATAATAGAAAAAGTATGAGAAAAAGGGAGAGAGAGAGAGATTTAATAGAAAATCTGTATGACAAAAAGCTTTCCTTTACCTTTTGTCTTTTTGTCTCACAAGAAGCCAAGGATTTTTTTCTAATATAAAATCATATATAGCTTGTTATTGCAATTAACTTAAGTGTCCTACAGGGACATAATAGACTTATTTTAACAGGCATACACTTAGCTTTTTTACAAACTCTTCCAAGGAAAAGTAACTTCTAATTTTTTATACAACTCTGTATAAGGCCAGACCTTTCATTATTTGTATCACATTTTTAAAATTTGGAGTGGGAGTGAAGGGAGGTTCACATTTTCAATTTTTTTCTCTCCAGCCCATGCTAAACAAGCTGAGGCTATTATATGGCCCTATGCATCTGACAGTTTTACATCTCTGAGTAATGCTTACTAAATAAAAGTTTAATGTTTACTCTTTTGACATACATTTTTCATGTTTTAATGTGAGCCCTAGGTTTTTCTATCCTATTTGCTCAAGATAAATGTATTCCTTATATTTAGCATCAGGTCAAAATAGCCTTTGCAAAGTCTTTAGAATGGTATTTCTCTGATATTAACATTCAAGCTTAAAGATTCTAGAAGTTCTGAACCACTTCAAGTTTCTAGATAGTCAGATGGCTACTTCTCTGTACCTTCTCACATGTAACATTCCATTCTGTTGTGATCTTCAATAAATATCTATTGAACACTCACTATATGCTCAATAATGCCTTTGGCCCTTGGCATGCATGAGTAGTAAAAACAGGAAAGAATCCTCACCTTCCTTCAGCTGAAAAATCTCCTTTTCCCAGAGGAAACACATTATATACAAAAATAACTAATGAGTAGATCTCATGCTTTATTAGTAGGTACTGAATGCTATGGGAAAAAAAGAGAGGGGGGAGAGTATAGGAAAAAGGAAAAAAATGCACTATAGAAGGGATTTTTTTATTTATATTTTGGTGGTCAAGTTGGGTAGCATTGAGAAGGTGGCACTAAATAAAGACGGAGAAAAATAAGGAGTAAGTCATATAGGGAAAAGCAGATAGAACATCAGGTCCAAATACGCTAAGAAGCCGACCTGTTACATTTAAGAAAGAAAGAAGAGAGGGGCTGATGTGAATCAGTGTGGTAAGGCAAGGGGAGCAGGAATCCCAGAAGGTCTTTTAAGGATTTTGGCAGTCATGGAAAGATTTTGAGAGACAGCAATTTAAGTGTTACTTGAGTTGCTAAGAACTGGGTGTAGGGAAAAAAGGTAAAGGCAGGAGGACCACTTAACAGGCTACTGCAATAAGCTAGGTGATAGGTATTGGTGCCTTGAATCAGAGCTGCAACGGTATTTCTTTTAGCAATTTCCTTTCCACCTACAGTCTACCTCAACTTGGCTAATTGCTACTCATCTTTGGTATTCTACTTTCTCTCACCTCCTTTGTGAAACATTCTCTGATATCCATACGCATATTCACACATAAAAATCTGGTTCAAATACTCATTCTAGGGGCTTTCATATCATCCTGTCTTTATTTTTGCCAGATTGTAATTTATAATAATATGTATTTCCCTTCTTTACACAATGGCCTCTTGCAAGTCAGGAATTCTTTCTTGTGTATCTATATTGCTATCAATCACCATAATTAGTTGAACAGAAAATGCTACATTAATGTTTGCATTATGCATTAAATATCCTAATATTTAATACCCTAACACTTAAAAACATATAATAACACAATAACTTTCTGATAACTGTCAGCTAGTGTATTTATTTTGTCTGCTAGAAACCACACTAGCTTGGAGAGATCATTTTAATTTTTCTGATTCAAGTGAATTTACCATATATTTCGTTAGGCTAAACGTATAAAGTACATTTTATCTAACGATCATGTCTTTAACTTACATGATTTTGCCTTTTAACATTATTTCCAAAAAAGTGGCATTTGCTAGAAAGTTTGCAAAATGCTCAAGTATTTCAACTTGTGTTTCTGTGTGTAGACATAATACATGTATACTATTTGTGTGTATGTATAAATTTGTGTAAAATGTCTTGTCTAATATGGCAGATTATAAAGGAATTCTACAAAATATCTGTGAAATTGTGTTTTTTAATAATATATTTTATTTTCCATTTCACATTTATGTTTGTTTCTTTCCCCTTCCCTTCTCATTGGGCCATGATTTGAATTTTCCTAAAGCGTTTTCATTTGGATTAAACTGGAATATTCCTTTAAAGAACAAATACCAAATTCCAAATGACTACAAGCTGATTTCAAAAATTATAATGCAATATTTTGTACAAAGGAATGCATGGTTATCTACACAGATGATATTTACACAAAAATTCTTACAATGGATATGATATATGGCCTTGTATAAATCCTCTCTGGGCTTTATTCTGTAAAATGAGAATGATTTTAGCTTCTATTTCAGAGTGTTGTGTACTTCAAGTGAGAAAATTCTTGTAAAGCACTGAAAACAGCATCTGAATTATATGAAAACAGCATGTGAAATATAGTAAGAGTGCAGTAGATGTAAGTGGCCAAATTTAACTGCTAAATTTTTATTTTTGGTCATAAGTTTCAGACAAACTTCTAATATTTGAAATAAAAATATTTACTTCTATATTAATTATAATTAAAATTTAAGATTTCTAATGTTTGAAATTAAAATATTTACTTCTATATTAATTGTAATTAAAATTTAAGTGTTTTGTATTAATTTTAGGCACACAAGTAACAGCTATGTCAAACCTTGTAATTATTCTAAAACAGAATCTGTAAAACTGAGTCTAAAATATGGTAGTTTTCATTAGGCATTGTGTTTGCCACATACATGAACATCAACAGTAACATTAAGAATAGCCTTTCTTAGAATATGTAAAACTTTAAAATTAACAAAAGTGGTTTCTTTTCTTATTAACACAATCTTTACTGTATTTACTGAGGGGAAGATTGCCAAAATATGTTTTCTCATATGGTAAAAAATCTGTTGGAGGAGGGTCCCTTTACAATGTTCATCTACTTTTGTCTAGTTGGACTGAAAGAAACTTTGAAAATATTTACTATCTAGTACCATGAATCTAACTGGAAAGCACAAACCTGGTTATAATTAATTTTTTTAAATCTCTGGTATCTACATATTTTTACCTCCTCTAAGCATCTAGAAGATGACATATTTTATTTTCCTTTTCTCCTCAGAACCTATGTGGTTGCTTCAGGAAGAATATAGTAGAATAATTTAGCCAAAGAGTTTTGAAGCCAGAAAAATGGGACTCAGAACTCCAATCCCTGTATCTCTCTCGTTTTGACTAAGCCAAAATCCTTTTTAAATCTTTTCTCTTCCTGCCCCATAACTGCATCTGCTTTTTTGAACATGGCTAAGGTAAAAAATAATGATACTGTGCTGACTGCTCTTCATTTATATCCGTTTTTATGAACCTCAAGTAGGTCCTAATGCTACCAGGCAATTATTAGACATCCCTAGTTTATTCACTCTTCTACCTTTAAAATGCCTATGTCATAATTTCTTCTTCCTTCTCATATTTCCAACACCCTTTTCCCCAACCTTACACTCAATAGTGTTTCTTCCTATTTTATTGAAAAAGAAAAATAAATCAGACCTGGATTTTTACAAGGGACAACCATATTCATCCACTTATTTGCATTTGTAGGCATGTATCCTATGTTCTCTTTGGATGAGCTATCCATGCCCTAGTTAAGATCAACTTCTATATTCATGCACTTACAGAAGTCCTCTTGATGGCTTAATGGCATAATTCCAGCAATTCTTCCCTAATTATTGTGACATCAAATTTTCTCAGCCTAACAGTTCATTTCTATTAACATAGAAAGGTGCTGTTTGTTCCCACCTTAAACAGTTTAGCCCATTTCCTTCTTCAGTTACTGCCATAATTCTCTTCATCCCTTTAGAGAAAAAAACCCAGCAAACCAGTTTTTTATATTCACTGCCTCTAATTTCTCTCCTAGTCTCTCTTAAACTTTGTCAAATAAGGTTTTCCCTCTTAATTGCCTAGCATTGACCTTACTTCAATGGTATGAAAGGTAATTTTTATTTATTTATTTATTTATTTATTTATTTATTTATTTATTTATTTATTTTTGAGACAGATTTTTGCTCTTGTTGCCCAGGCTGGAGTGCAATGGTGCAATCTTGGCTCACTGCAACCTCTGCCTCCCAGGTTCAAGGGATTCTCCCACCTCAGCCTCCTGAGTAGCTGGGATTACAGGTGCCCGCCACCACGCCCATCTAATTTTCTTGTATTTTTAGTACAGACGGGGTTTCAGTGAAAGGTTATTTCTAAAGGTCCACTTTACTTTGCATAATAATAGTAATTTACATGGTTAATCACTCTATCTTCTTCGAGTTTCCTTCTATTTTCTGACCATTTTCTGTCAGTTTCCTTTACTGATTCTATATCATCTCCCAACTTCTAATTATGGAAATGCTCCCATAGATTAGTATTTTTGTCCCTCTTTCATAGTCTACTCTTTTCCTAAGTAATAACACACAGTTTTATACTTTTAAGCATTAGCTAGACATATAGATATAGAGAAATATGCATATATAGCTAGACAGATACATAGATGATAGATAGATGGATAGATAGATGATAGATAGATAGATAGATAGATAGATAGACAGATAGATAGGTAGATAGCTCTAAATTCCTATCATCAGCCCGTATTGCCCCACTGAACTGAACTTTATTTCAACTGCCTATTTGGCAGCTTCACTTGGATATTTGTTAGGAATCTCAGTCATAACACTTCTAAAATTGAGCTCCTGTTAGTCCATACCCAAGCCTGCTTCTCGTTTAATCTATTGTGTCCTAGGTAATAAGAAACCTATCCTCATAGTTGCTTAGACAGAAAACCTTGATATACTCATCAGTTTCTGAATGTATCCAGCACATGCTCACTTCTCATCATCTTCACAGATCTCATCTTGGTCCAAGGTCCTATGATTTCACAACTTCATTATTGCATTGATCCCAGACAGGTGCCTCTGCAACAGCTTGCCCCTGGGACACTATTGTCAACGTTGCACTCAGAGGAATTTTTTGACAGCTTTTGTTAAGCCATAATTAGCATTAAAAATTATACATACTGTAGGTGTTCATTTAAATAATATTCGATGTATGTATATACTCATAAAACCATCATGGCAATCAACAGAGAGGTCCTTTTATAATACACATCAGATTATTTTCCTTCTATGTTTTCCTCTTCATACAGAACAAAAGCTAGAATCATCCTTCATTGGCTTATGAAACATTTCATAATTTAGTTTGTCACCTCCAAGAGTTCATGTCCTATCCTGCTCTTCTTCTCCTTCACATGCCTCTAACAAGATTGTCCCATATTCTTTGTCAGACACAGACAGTAACACCTCATTTTCTCAGAGTCCGTTCAATTGTTATCCCTCCATGTAGAATATTATTTTCCCACATCTTACAGAGTTCCTCACTGTCCCCAAATTCAAAAGGCACCTTCTCAGTGATACTTTTCATAACCACCATACGAAAATTGTATTCCTCCATACCCTTTTCGTACTTTATATAATACTTCTCTTTAACATTTATCACAATAGATATTACTATATATTTAGTATATATAGTAACACTATATAAGTTTCTATTACTATATATGCTAATTCCAAACACTATGTAATGTATTACATATTTAGTTAACTCATTTGTTCATTCCCATTTTCCCACCTAGAATGTAAGGTCCGTGAAAACATGTATTTGTGTTTCCTTTGCTCACTGTCCTATTCAAAGTGCCTAGAACAGGATGTGGTACATAGTAAACACTCAGTCAATGTATGTTGGATGAAGACCTAAATAAAGACTTCAGAAAATAAGGCATCTAGATTGTTGAACATGGTTCTCTTATATATAGTAAAAATCTTTATGCATATAATCTGTTGTTCATTAAGTATTTTTCTTTTCTGCTGTCACTTCCCTAAGAGCTGTAAAACAGATTGCCAGGAATCATTTTCCTAGACTATAGCTATTCCCGACTCCCAGTGCTGTCAGTTCCTCTTTTGTCACACTTCCTTTTTCTTCCTTTTTTCTTTTTATTCTATGACTAACTGTAACTACTGTTGGCAACTGTTGATGAAAAAAGACAAAGAGATGAGTGACAAGAAGTTTTAACATGTCTTGTGTATTCAACAAGTATTATTATTATTTCCATAATTGGATATTAGACAAAATAGGAAAGTAATCTTGAAGAGTTTCGTACTACGAGTGGCCTTTCTGCATTGTTTAGTTACTCATCTTATGTAGATCTGTTGTCAATTCAAAATTGCTAACAAAATTTTAGAATATTTTTAGAGCATTTTCAAGATCTGCTCTTCTTGGTCTGAAGTGTGCGTGTTGAATTTCTCTGATTTTAAACAAATAAATAAATATGATGACAAGTGTAAATAAATTACTTTTTAAATAAATTAATCCCTAAATGTTCAGTCTCTATATTGTATGAGCTGTTAGAGAATCCCATGGCACAAAGAGCTTTCATTTGAAATTTCAGTCAAACTTGTAGCATTTTTATTGATTCATAAGCAGTATCCCCACCCTGTCCCCTGTCTCACTGGAATAAGGTGTGGACCAGCAACAGAAACTGTCTATTTATCTCTTTTTTGGTGCATCTGTGAAGTAGCAAGACTCATGACTAAAGTACTTGGAAAATGGTAGAGCCATTCTTCAGGATTTTATTTTCCTTCTTTTATTATAATTAACATTTTAAACTCTGAGCTTTATTACAGATTATTAGCTTTTCTATAATCGGAAGAGATGATGATTCCCTGAAAAGTAATCTCTCCTCTATATAAAAGGAACAAAATGTCGAAAATTTTGAAATATTGGTACTTAGTTATTAAGAAACGCTACATAAGAGAATTCTAAAATGGCATGTTCAAAAGAAAAGTACGCTATAAACAATATGTCTAAATGGGTAATTTAAATAAATAATGTGTATTACATGTCATGATTTATTTTGCATTTAAAGTATATCACCTTATTTTCTACCAAAAATGCAAATAGTAAAATAAAAATAAATTTATAGTATGTTTTTGTCAGTTTTAACTGTGAGAAAGATGCACAAAAAGAAGCACAGAGGAGACTATATGATAGATAAATGCAAATAGAATTCTAAAAGCCTCCTTCACTTAGAGAAATTCAGAAAAAAAAATCTACAGGGAACCTTGCCTTGTGCCTACTTTTTAGAGGAAAAAATGGCTATATGATTTTGGAGAAAATCCTTATATTTGAGGTCGGTGTTTAAAAATTTTCTGAAAGAAATTTATTGAAGACATATTTTTTCTAAATTCTGGGACCCACTAAATTAATACTTCTAAAATTATACTTGCTATATTTAATGCCTATATTTATGCACATATAAATAGATGCATACTATATGTATTAGTCTGTGTTTTTTGCTATAAGTGAATACCTGAGACTGAAACATTTATAAAGAAAAGAGGTTTATTTGGTTCATGGTTTTGCAGGCTGTACATGAATGGCATTAACAACTGTTCAGTTTTGGTGAAGCCTTAGGAAGTTCTTACTCATGGCAGAAAGTGAAGGGGAGCAGGTGCGTCACATGGCAGAGAGGGGGAAGCAGAGAGAGAGGAGGAGGGGTCAGGCTTTTTTAAACAACAAGCTTTCAAAGGAACTAATAAAGTGAGAAACTCACTCATTGCCGCTGGTAGGACACTAAACCATTCATGAGTGATCCACCCGCAAGACTCAAACGCCAAGTCCTATTAAGCCCTGCTTCCAACACTGGAGATCACATTTCAACATGAAATTTGGAGGGAACATACATCCAAACTATATCACCATACAACATTTATTTAGAAATTAGAGAGTACTGTATGCAAAGAAGACTTCTGTCAAAAGATGAATACGTTATATTGAAGCTATGTTAATAATTATTTTGTTAGAAATTAGCAGAAAACTAACCCGTTAATCCTAAGTGGATGAAATGTTATAGGTAGAAATGGATTAAGCATGGAGCCCTGATCCCCGCCCAAAAAAAGCAGGAATTTTCACTTTTTAAAAACATTATTTATCCAAAGTGTAACTAGCACTTAGCTGAGTGCCTGGCTCACCATAAACACTCAATATTTAATTATTACTTGTGAACTAAATAGAAGAACAGAGAAGACATGGAAAAGTATTTAGGGATTTAGATTTTTGAAAAACACATACAGAGAAACTGGAGTGAAGCAAATATGAACTACATTTATCATCTAACTTTCACAAGGGGTCAATTCAAAGTAGAATTATAGATACAAAAAAGAACTCATAGATATGAGTAGGTCCATGGATTTTCATGGTATTAGCCCATCGTCTCTCAGCACCCATGGCCTAAGGACAACAGCAGATCTCTTTGATCACCAGTGTGGACCTGGGTGCACTGTATGAAAATAATGCGAACATGGAATGAATAAAATAGGGAAGTTTTGATTATGTATTATTTCTAGATATGTAGAATAATACCTATTCTTCACCACACCTGCCATTCCTTTACCAGTTGACATTTTGTTACTATTGACCCCTGGATTTAATCATAAAATACCATATGAATTTTTCATAAACAACAGCTCTGTGGCATTTCTATACTGTTTAATAGCAGCTAAAGTTATATTTGTGCTTATCACAGTCATAAACACAAAAAAGCAGCAGAATGTGGGTTGAGAGTCTAAATGTATCTAAATATTTTATTATTGTTACCATGGTAGGTCATGACAAAGATTATTACACAGGCAAGAGAAGTTAGATGGGAATTTCCCGCACTTGGTTTATTTCTACTCTCTGTTCATTCATATTAGTAGTTTTATATATTTATATGTGTATACACACACACGTGTCTATGCATATTTGAGTGTGTGTATCCCCAAAATCACAATTAACATAGACAAGTTTCCCTAAGACATTCCTAGGTTTCACATTTATTATTCCATACATAGCAAACCAGAGAAAGGTCTACCCCTTTTCAACAGTTAAAAAGAAAAGCCCTCTGATTTGCTCAAAGCAATTCCTTTACGGAAGAAAAAGATTTGGTTAAGCTCTCAACACCATTACAAAATTAATAAGATTTCTCAGAGTTCTCTGACCATTTTATTCTTTTAACATTTTGACTCAACTATGGAGTTTGAACTATATGAGAACTAGCAAAATAAATATCATCTCAGGCAATAATCTTTCACTGGAGCCAAACTGAAAGTCAGTCATTTGGGGAGATTGAATCTGTCATAATACTGGACTGCTTTCTTATCAACAAGCTGTTCCTTTTTAATAGAAGTAGAATCTTAAAATGGATAAAAAACAAATTAAATGAGGTTTATCAGTACTTTCTTCAAGATGTTATTGTGCCATCTTTATTTGGGGAAGATTTCAAAAGAGAAATCAAACAATGTTACGTCTGAATGAAGTAATTAAATTCTCAATTAGCCTACAATCATTTATTTGTAATGGTAGCAATGCCAAATTTGATTAATAGCATGTTCTCCTTCTGGTAATTAAACATTCTGCCAAATTTCCTAAAATTAAGATGTTTACAAAAAGCCACACGGACCTCCAAGGATTTAAGAAGAATTTCTTAACACTGAGATTCTAATAAATAGTTTCATAACTCTAATATTGTTATATGGTCCTGGAGAACAGCAGGATGGCTGGAGTTCCCTATTTCACTGAAGATGAGGGCTGATGTACATTGTCTTTATTCCATGTGACTTTTCCTCTGAAGACATAAATTATGCAGCCCAGATATCAAAGTAAGTAGTCTTGATCACATCCTTGGGTTGAAAAATGCAAGGAGCATTACAGCATAGAAATCATGTATAAAAGTCTTACATCACAGTTGGCTTTACAGTTGCTACTAACTTTCTTAAGTTCTTTAATTATTTTTAAATCATATGGTCCTACTTTTTTTCAATAGTATTATCAAAGGTAGTCTTGAAAAAGATATGAATATCTTACCTGAATTCATCTTTGCAGGGTAATGTTGAATGATAAGAAGCAGCAGCAGAAATAGGCTCAGAAAACAAAAACAGAACAAAATATTTAGAAGTGAGGCTATAAATGAAGAAAGCAGGAGATGCACAAAAAAGAAAGTAGAAAGAAAGGAACAGAAATAAAAATTCAAGAACATGGTGTAAAGGCATATTGTCCTTAGTATTGACTCATGTTTCTCTTGAAAACACAAAAACTATGGATTGCCTAAGCTTGACCTATACTATGTGATTGTTCATGTTATTTATAGATACTATAGAATTTGTGCTGATCACAAAGAGTCTCATTGACTATTCATAGATTTCATTTATCTGAGCAGGTGGTAATTAGTAATCAAACGTAGTAAAATTGTTTAAAATAATTCAAAAAAATAAAATTTTAATACAGAATTACATCTACACAGAGCACACATTTTTCGATAGAAAAAAATGTTCGTAGAAATACTTCCAAAGTAGTTACTATTAACTCAGTAATAAAAGTTCCATGAATATGGGTTTACAGCACATCAATAATTCTATTTCTCTTCTTATTTTAGGAGTAAAAGATAGATATTTATATTATCTAATGACCACTTTTTAAAGAAGTGTTGCTTAAATAAAAATATAAATATGGAGAAGCTGAAATGCATGGTTTAAAACAGAATTATGGAAAATAAAATATCTAAATATTTAATGTGAAGTCTAATGCCTAATGACAATTATCATTTTTCCAAATTTCTTCTCTCAGGTAGCAATGGCTATTGTGTAATCAGAAAAACAATGAGCTTGCCCTGCAGGTCATTATTCTCTCTTCTCACCTGTTATATGCAATTTTATTTCTGCTCAGTTAACTCTTAACTATCTATAGTAATGGAGGGATACATTTCTGCAAGTAACATAAATGTTATATACTTTAGTGAATAATTTCTGCATCATCAAATCTTCCCTCAGAAATAAAGAGAAAAGAGATATTTGGGTTAGCTATTGAACTCACACAATTCACTTTGATATTTGATCTCCCCTTTCTTAAATCCATGGAAAACAATATGATTTCTAGATAAGTAAATATTATTTTCTCGATATACAATCAAAAGTAAACTCCAGGAAATAATAGTATTTCCAAGAAGAAAGGGATCAGACAGTAAAAAATCTCCATGCTTTATTATATTAATTTTCATTTCAAACCTTTTTTGAAAAATAAAATGTTAGAAGTATTACAAAGAAATGTTTCTTCTCAAATCACTAGAGGGTAGTTTGCCAAGAAATTACCCTCCAAAATGTGTGTGCGAATTTTCTACAGATGAGGACATTTTCTTACATTACCATAATACAATCATCAAAATCAACAAATTAACGTTGATACTACCAACCATTTGTAATAGTTATCTACTACTGCACTTAAACACTGATACTACTACCATTTGTAATAGTTATCTACTACTGCATTTAAACACTGATACTACAACCATTTGTAATAGTTATCTACTACTGCATTTACAAAACAAAATGGCTTAAAACAATAAACTTTTTTAATTTCACAATTTCTGTGGATCAGGAATCTAAGTGTGGCTTGCTACGTTTTCCAGTGGTATCCTATGTTTGCAAGCAAGGTATTTACTCTGGCTGTGGTCTCGTCTAAAGACTCAACTGAGGGAGGACCTGGTACCAAGCTCGCTCACTTGGTCATTGGCAGGGTTCAGTTGTTCATAGGTTGTTGAGCTGAAGGAGACACTTCCCCAAGAGCTATTAGTCAGAGGTTTCCCTCACATCCTTGCCAGCTGGGCCTTCCCATAGACCAGTGAACAGTATGGCAGTAAACTTCCAACGGAGTGAAAAAGTGAAAAAGCAACAGATGTAGCACAAGGTGGGAGCCCCATTCTCTTTGTAAGAGGCATCCTATCACTTTGCTATATAGTTTTCATTAGAAATGAGTTTCTAAGTCCAGCTCACACTAAAAGGAAGGGAATTACACTAGATTGTGAAAACCAGGGGTGGGAGTCATTGGGACAATCATGGAATCTCTTTATTATGTCTTCTAATGCTCAGAACCTCTATAAGTTTTGTCAAAGATCTAAAGAACATTATTTATAGCAAACGTTTCCATCAGCATCATCCACTGCAGTTAAATGTTTTGTTTCCTTAGTCTCCTTCAGTCTGGAACGTTTACTCAATCTGTCCTTGATTTTCATGACATTGGCATTTATGAAGATTATAGGCCAGTTATTTTGCAAACTGTCTCTCTACTTGAGTTTGTCTAATATTTCCTCATTATAAGGTTTTCAGACAGAATTATCACAGTCATAATTGTATATTTTTTCACTGCTTCCATCAAGTTTCATGCAGTATCAATTTGTCCAATTATTGCTGATGTTCACTTGGATCACTTAAGGTGTTATCAGCCAAACTTCACTATGAAGCTACTGTTTTACCCCCACTTTGTAATATGTTATAATAATATAATTTTTTGTGGGGAGCTGTTTTTACTCTACAAAATATCCCATTTTTTTATCAAACTCTCTATTTGCTAATTTATTTAAATCTATATGTTAATGGTTTCCTATTATATTCAGTGCAAAATAATATATTATTACCATGATTTTGATAACCAAATTATCCTTAGTTTGGTCAGTGATGACCCAATGAAACTGACTTTTGATGCATTTGGATATATCTCCTACATTATTTAAACATTTTCTTGCTTTTCAGCATGAGACGCTCCAAGCTCATCTTATACTTTCCCCAACCCAGGCTAAAAATCAGCCATTTCTATAAGAAGGCTGGGTTTCTTTTCCAGTGAGATAACTGTACTCATTATTATAGAAATGTGATTATTGCCAAACATGCTGAGCTAGGAGATTGTGTGTGTGTGTGTGTGTGTGTGTATGTGTGTACATAAACACATATGCATGCATATGTACATATATATATGTGTGTGTGTATATATACCGTCCAGAAATATAGAGATGTATATCTAACAAATATATGTATCTAACAAATATATGCAAATATACAAATAGCACCACAGTTGTTGTCTAGATTTCTTGTCTTTCTATAGCTAGAATTTTTTTCTTTGACAGTAAGAAATCTGGTTTTCATCATCCTTATTATATTTACTTATTTGATCAATTCCCTTGTATGTAACAAATGCCCCATTTTCATTATCACCTCCTTCCCCATGTGGATACACTTTTCACTACGTTGGGGCGCAGATATCCTATGCCAATTATCACTCTGTATGGATGCTCTTTGAAAACTGTTTGAGGTTACATTCTCCATGTTGTTGTCACTACAAGGACTGTCTCCTCACCCTGCTTGGACTTTGACCTCTCATGCCAGGCTGTCTTAGTTCATTCTATGCTGCTCTAACAGGATACCTGAGACTGAGTAATTTATGATGAACAGAAATGTGTTTCTCACAGTTCTGGAGGCTAGCAAGACAAAGATTGAGGGGCTAGCATTTGGTGAGGGGCTTCTTGCTGTTATCCCTTGGCAGAAGACAGAAGGGCAGGAAAACAAAAGACAGAAAGAGAGGAAAAGTGAATGGGGACCAAAATGCCCGCTTTATAAGGAACCCACACCTTAAGTGATGGTAGAGACCTTTCACCTCCCTGGTTAGCTGTATCCTTAGGTATGTTATTCTTTTTGTGGCAATTGCCTATGCGAATTTGTTCGAGATTTGGCCATCAGCTTGACTGTTGTTTGTGTATTGGAGTGCTAGTGATTTTTGCAGGTTGACTTTGTATCCTGAGACTTTGCTAAAAATGTTAACTGTCTACATCAAATTTAAAATAATGTCTATGAAGACTTGCAAATTAAAGTAAAATCCAGCCAGGCACAGTGGCTTATGCCTGTAATCTCAGCAGTTAAGGAGGCCGAGGAGGAAAGATTCCTTGCAGCTAGGAGTTCCAGATCATCCTGGGCAATACAGTGAGACGTTTCCTACAAAAAATTAAAAAATAAAAAATTTTCTAGGCTTGGTGGTGTGCACCTGTCATCCCAGCTACTTTAGAGTCTGAGTTTGGCAAATGGTTTGAGCCTAGGAGCCCCAGTGAGTTATGACTGTGCCACTGCACTCCACCTGGGTGACAGAGCAAGATCCATTCTCTGAAATACAAATAAATAAATAAATAAATAAATAAATATCCTATACCAGTTGAGGTTTGAGGAGAACCTATTAAGAGTAGTAACCCTGAATGTCCACTCTGTGGTAAGTAATTCCCAAGAGCCATGCTAGTGATGACAATAGAAACTGTACATTGACACAATATATAATATTTTTTCAAAATTCTCAAGAAGACACATTTCCCTTTATTCAAATGTTATGTTTCAGGAAATTGACTCCAAGGGAATTTAACAATTGTGCAATTTCTATACAATATGTCTTACAATAAAAATAGCCATTGATAGCTAACTTTTTAATAATATGGAATTACAAAAGTAATATTACAATGCAATGCTAGAGACATTACCATTATTATGTAAATTCACACGTAATGGTAGAGATGATTTATTATAGAAAAATATGTAATAAAAGAGCATATATACTGTGTTACACATTTTTCATGTGATTATATACCTAAACAAATTCTATAAGATTATTAAGTAACTTGTGTTTTCACTAATTATTTCTACCCTACTTGCATCATATCCTAAATATATTAATTTACCCTATCTCTTCCATTCTGTTATTTGATGTGTGCTTCAAATTGATTTAATAAATCATGGGATTCAATATCTAAATTTGGTCTGAAAGCCTTTCTGTTCTGTGATCTCTGCAATGCCATGACTATTAGTGTTCTTGTAGGTTATTATTGGTTTCATCCCAAATGACACGCGAGAGTCATTTGGGATGAAACTCCATCTACCATCTCAGGTAACAACATTTATTAAATATCCAGGTTGGATAATTGAGAACATATGCATAATCTTAAAAGCACTGTACCTCCACACATTGAGAAAAATAAACAAGCTTAGTATAGAGGAGTGTGTGTGTGTGCGTGTGTCTGTGTGTCTGTGTGTTTGTGTGAAACATATGATGGGGAGGGAGTTTCACAAGTTAATAGGGAAATTGTTTGGAAAGATAGTTTTAGATTTATTCTTGTTAATTTGTTATTTTAGACAAAAAGTTATAGTTTAAAATAGGAGAAAATTATGTTTAATAATATGGTTTGTATATTGCAATTTTAACTTTCTGTGATATTTGAATAAACATTATATAATGTTCACATTATATCCCAATCATTTTTATGGTATGTTCCAACAAAGAAAAAAGACCAGTATAATCCCAGAGATATTCTATTTAGCCTAATTATTTAATTTTAAGCACATATGATATTTTGGCAGATTTTAAAGGATTTATACTTTTTTTTTTCAGGGGAGGGGGCATTGCTGTGATAGCAATCACAACAATTCTTGGAGCGAAATTTAACTAAGATACTGTGATATCTTAGTCTTGCTCGTGAGACCGCAGAAACACCTGATAAGAATAGTTTCCATGAAGGGCCCCCTGGGATAAGACATCCCCAAGCACTATGCTAGATCAATGGAAGTGATTACTATGTACAGGCTAAAGTTAGTTGGATCTGAGAAGTCCAAGCCATAGTCAAAAAGTAAAAGGGAAGTAGTGTTAAGCATTGGGAATAAAATAATAGAAAAGAGAGAATAAGTTTGAAAGCTGAGAATAAAGATCAAGTCATAAATCATATTTGATGTTAATCTTCAGACTAGTTAGAGGTTATGAGCAGCCAAGAAAGTTCTATCTAAGGGGGTGCCATTTTAGTCGCCACCTGTCTTAGTCTGCTCAGGTTGCTATAACAAAATATTATAAAGCAAGTGTCTTAAACACAGAAATTTATTTCTGATCATTTTGGAGGTTAGGAAGTGTAAGATCAAGGTGCCAGCATGTAGGATTCATTCTGAGGCCTCTTCTTCTGGCTTGTAAGCAGCTACCATCTTGCTTTGTGCAAGGTATTTTGTACTTTGTCCTCAGCACACACTTGCTCTCTCTCTTCCTCTTCTTATAAGACCCAAAGTCTTGTAGAACGTTCCCCCCTCCCTTACAAATGCATTTAACTTTACTACCTAATCAATGTATCACCAAATATAGTCACATAGTAGATTAAGGATCCTAATGTAAGTTTTTGAAGAACACAACTCAGCCTGTAGCATCACCTGAAGCGAAAAAAGTCTACTATGAAAAATGATAAGTGAAGAATATTCTGAAAAGAAGAAACAGCAAAGGTAAAATTTAGAGAAATGAATCTGTGGAATATGTTCCAGGGACAGAGGAGAGCCAATGTGGCTAGAGGAGAAATATAATAGAAAAATAATGGAAGGGGATAATGCTAAAACATAACCCAGCCCTGGTCACTCTGGAAAAGCTTAACAGGGTTCTCAGTGTGTTTGAACTTACTCCAGACTGATGGAAGCCATTGGAGGGCCTGATTTAATTTAAGTTGTTGAGATTTTTGTTTCTTAGGTTTTTTGTTTGTTTGTTGTTTTTCAAAATTACACTGGCCGCTTTGTTAAAATGTGTCTATTAAGGGAACAAGAATAGCAGCAGAGATATCACTAAGAAATCAGTAACTGCCCTATTAGTTACAGAATATTAGTGCCTAATATTCTCTCATATTAGCTGAATTTTTTTCACAATGCATCTTATGATACATTTGTTGACTGAAAATTTATTTTAGAAATCTAGTAACTCTAGTATCACCTAGAAATCCATACAATCATATAAATTTTTAAATGATGAAATTATTATTCTGGGTTACTGATGTTTGAATAAATATCACAGCTAGATATCTGTGAATACATACCAACTTATTAATGATGCAGACACCTTGCAATGAACCTGAACCTCCTGTTGAGAAGGTTGCTCAGTTTGGGCATATTTAGTAGATCTCTTGATATGGTCATAACACTTAATAGAAATTTTTATATTTCAAGAGTGAATAGTGGACTTTGATAAATTCCTACTACTATGAAATAAGACACTCCTATTTTCTCACTTTGATAAGGAAATGGGGAATGGTATACAACTGGTTCTCCCTTCCAAACCCAAGGAAGTAAACCGTAAAACAGAATGTTAAAAAACCTTCTGAAATGTGTGGTTGTCTTTCAAAGCTAGGATCAACATCTCACTCCAGTTGGATATATGTTCATTTGCAAAATGGGTTAACCTATCCTAGTATGAAAAAAAGAAATCTGGAGGGGAAAAAAAAATGACTGTTTGCTGTGATCAGACAAAAAGAGAACAATTCCAAATCTTAATTCTCTTGTCTTGATGAGGTAAGGAAAATGGACTCTACTGCTGCCTACTATCCTCTGAGTTAGAAACTTGGAAGATGGTAGGGATCAAGGATTACAGGATTGATGGAGATCAAATCCTTCCAAAGAATCTTATGTGATGCCATTATAAGAGAAACAAGCAGATGATGCAGTCACATCTCCAAAGGAACTGCCAAGACCTGGAGAGATGCCTGCCAACAAGGTCTGCTAGTCCATACAACACAATCCACCAAAGACTGAACCATGAACTATGTATATCACCATTAGGGTCAATAAGAAGGGTCAACAACTCTGTCTTTCCAGCTTTGCAGTTACCAACAAACTAAGAAGCATTTAATACTAACATTGAAGATACCAAATCACTAAGATTAGTGGTGTAGGAGATTTTTTTATTTTTCCCCTCCTCTCACTATTGCACAAGGAATAAGCCCCAAGAAGATGGAAGAAATTGAAAGAGAATAGACAACTCTTGCCTTTAGTCTAGAGCCATGTCTCACCTATTATTTTTAAAAACGAATATGATGGCCAGGCAGGGTGGCTCATGACTATAATCCCAGCACTTTGGGAGGCTGAGGTGAGTGTATCTCTTGAGATCAGGAGTTCAAGACCAGCCTGGCCAACATGGCGAAACCCCATCTCAACTAAAAATCCCAAAAGTAGCTGGACATTGTGGTGCATGCCTGTAATCCCAGCTACTCAGGAGGCTGAGGCACAAGAATCCAAGAATCACTTGAACCTTGGGAGGTGGAGTTTGCAGTGAGCAAAGGTTGCACCTCCAGCCTGGAGGACAGAGTGAGACTCTGTCAAAAACAACAACAAAAAAAAAACGAATATGAGATTAAAATTTAATTGACAGCATTGAATTTCAGGTCTAAATTACCTTTAAAAATGGAATCAGGCTAAAATTTTGTCAAGGAAATATTTTTCACCAGCAGAGTAGACTCGAGATAGTACATCTGTCAATAGTTAGGAGAAAATAATAAAACATTTTTATATGTATGGTTTCAATTGGTTGAAACGCCTTGTGAAATCAGTTAGATGAATTTAATAGGAGATGGCTCATTAAGTGCCAATTGCCTTCACTTATTCCAACTTTAATCCTTTGTATTTATCAATTTTTACAACTGGTGTAAGTAAATAGCATAGTGGTATAAATAGTATACATTGTGGAGTGACCCCCAGGTATATTGTTTACCTCCTTTGACAAAAATGAACTGACTTAAAAGAAAATAAGTTATTGTAAACAAAATGTAGTTTAAAAAGCCTTTAACTGGTTGTTTAGCAGAAACACAATTGCCCCAATAAGAGGACTTGAGGGTTACCATTTAGCCCTCTTCTGGCAGGTAAGTCCTTGTACTCTTGAAAGATTGTGATTCACTTTCTTACACTTCTCTGACATCAGTCACTTCAGACACAATGGTAACAACTCCTCACTCTAAAGGTCCAAAGGAAGTGGGTAACATCTTTGAATGGTTTCTTCTTTCAAAGAGTGGTGCTGTAAAGGAAGTAAGGAGAAGGAGCTGCATAGGTTATCGTCATGCAGCACACATTGCTCTATCAGCAGCCTGTAAGGCACAACATCTATCACACGGAAACCTGAAAGAGACTCACCAAGGCTAGCTCCTATTAAGCAGGCTTACCTCTTTCAGGAAGGACAAAATCAAGAACTAATTAAAGACACAAAAATAAAACAAACCATCAATTAAATGAAAACAGCATAAAGAAAATGACTGAAAAAATTTAGGAATTATTTTTAAGCATTTTACAAAACACCTCAAAAAAGACCCATTCAATTTGTGGAATTTGTGGGTTATTTTAATAAAATTTTTTTTATTTAAAAAAATACAAAGGAAAGGAAATAAATAAAGAAATCTAACTATAGGACAAATACTGTTTCAGAAATTTGTGACTGTGAAAATCAAGTCAAAGAGCATTCAAATCTAACAATGACTTAGTGCATTTATTTTAGAATTCTGAATTACTTAAGCATTAAGAAACTCTCTTCTGGCATTTTTAAAAATGTAAACATATACTTTTGAATATCCCTAAAACACAGTAAATGCATAAATACGTGCAATGTGTCATGCACCAATACTGTTCATTTTTTACTTCCTTAAATCAAATTAATACATGCTTTTCTGTTAACAAGGAATGTATGCTTTAACTGTCATGAAATTTGAAAAATTGTGAGTCTGTTTATTGTTGTTAATAATAACAAAATAACCATATTTGGATAAATTTTTATACAAAATACCTTACAGTTTCTTACGAAAAGAAAGGACAAATTCCTAGGCAAGATAAAAATGTTAACTAGCAAGATGAAGAATCGAAAGTGATGGAAAAAGTCATCAGGGATAAAAATTTTAAGGTTGAACTGCTTTCCAGAGTGTATTCAGATTCCTGAAAAAATAGTTTTCAAGGTAACCTTTGGGAAGCACTGCTCTAGTGATTTCTTCAGTGTCTTCTGTGACTACACTCTCCATGGAACTAAAGAAAATTTCACCTACTCCGGAATGATTTGGGTCAATTAGATGTTACAAGTTATTTTCTTATTTTGCCCAAATGCCTCAACTCTTCTAACACCCCAACTTCCAGTACCTGTCCTCTCACCTCTCTGTAACAGATGGATTTCTTTTTTTTTCTTTTTCTTTTCAGTCTGGAGATCTCTAGGATTAAATGTTCAATGCATTCTCAATGCTCTTACTGGAACTTAGTAAACAGGAACTATTACCTTCAATCTCCCTGATATGATTGCTCTCTGTATGAAGTCTCAAATTGTATTAGATTTTGTTGCCATATAACATTAGATTGTAATGCCTCCCATGTTCACTCATACTGTATTTCAAATGTAAGAATTTTTCAGGGACACTAGTTTTCAGTTAATTCATTTTCTGTGTGTATGTGGATTTGTGTGTGCTTCTTTGTACTGTTAAAGGTTAAAGTGACTTTATTTTATGTGTTATCTATAAATGATTCTAAGAAATATATCTTCTCATTCCCTCAGGTGTTTTTTCCAAAATTAAAGGTGGCAATTAGTATACTGTCCATATCTCATATGATGACAGAATCATATTAAGTGGATGTTAATTTATCTTCAATCTCCTTTTCTTATATTTATAAACTTCCTAAAATACACATTATGGTAAAACATATTACAATCAGTCCTGCTATTTCCTGAAGTCATTTCCAAGTATTTCTTCCTCTCTTTCATAGATAAATTTCTTAAAATAATAATGTCTACTGGCTTATATTATTCATTAATTCATCCAACAAAAATATGTGACCTATTTTGGTCAGGATATTAGACTAATAGCAGGAATACATGATAATCCACAAAAATAGAATTAATGTTCTAAAATTTACATGAAACCATGGAAGACCTCAAACAGCCAAAGCAATCTTGAGAAAAAAAGAACAAAGCCGGAGTTATTACATACCAGACTTGAAAATTTACTAGAAAGCTGTATCTAAAACAGCATGATATTTTCTTAACAGCAAACACATGGACTGATGGAGCAGAATAGAGAACCCAGATATAGATCCATGAATTTGGAACCAACTAATATTTGACTAGGATACTAGACATACAATGGGAAAATGACAGTCTTCAGTGAGTAGTCCTGGGGAAACTGAATAAATAAAGTGCAGAACAAAGCTAGACCCCTGTCTCTCGACATACACAAAAATCAAATCAAAATGAATAAAGACGTAAACCTAAGACCTGAAACTATGAATCTACTAAAAGAAACCGTTGGAGAAACACTCCAGGACATTGGCCTGGGCAAAGATCTTTTGTGTAAGACCACAAAAGCATAGGGAACCTAAGAATAGACAATTGTGATTATATCAAGCTAAAAAGATTTTGCAGAGCAAACAACCAACAAAGTGTAGAGAAAACCCACAGAATGGGGAAAAAAAAGTGCAAACTATCCATTTGACAAGAGATTAATAATCAGAATATGTGAGAAGCTCAAACAACTCAGAAAATAATAATAATAATTCAATTAAAAAAATGGGCCAAAGATCTAGACATTTTTCAAAAGAAGGCATACAAATGGCCAATAAGTATATCAAAAGATGCTCAACATTACTAATCATCAGAGAAACACAAATGAAAGCCATAATGCAACATCATCTCACTCGTTTAAAGGACCTATATGTAAAACACATGTAATAACAAGACACTGGTGAGGATGTGCAGAAAAGGGAACCCTTGTACATTGTTGGTAAAAGTACAAATTAGTACTACAGCCACCTTTTGAGAGGTTACTCAAAAAACTAAAAATAGAACTACCATATGATCTAGCAATTCACTAGTTGGATATATATCCAAAAGAAAGGAAATCAGTACATCAAAGAGATCTCGGCACTCTCATGCTTATTGCAGCACTCCTCACAATAACCAAAATATAGAATCAACCTGAGCGCCCACTGATGGATGCATAAATAAGGAAAATGTGGTATGCATACACAATGGAATTTATTCAGCCATATAAAAAACAATGAAATCCTGTCATTAGCAGTGACATAGATGGAGCTGGAGGCCATTATGTTAACTGAAATAAACCAAGCACCAAGAGACAAATATCACAGGTTCTTATTCATATGCTAAAAAAGTGGGTTTCAGGATGATTGGTGGTTCTGAGACACCAGGAAGTGCAGGGGCTAGGGGGTGATGAAGTTAAAAACAGCTATAAATATATTTATTACCACTGAATCCTAAACCTAAAAATGCTATAGATGGTAAATTAGAAAAAAATAAGACAACCAAGACAAAATCTCTACTCTTAATAAAGTTAAAATTTAGTGAAAAAGACTGATTAATACCATAGGGTAACTCTTTGAGATATTAATATGTCTTTTTCTGGTTCTTATAAGTAATCACCATATTGGTTTCCAACAATGCATATCAAATTGGCATAAATTTAGTGGTTTAAAAAATATATATTTTATTATCTCATATTGGCTGTAGGTCAGAAGTCCAGAGACTGTGTAGCTGGGTTTTCTGGACTCATTTTCACAAGGCTAAAATCAAAGTGTCAAACCAAGTCACATTCTCATCTGGAGATCAAGATCCTCCTCCAAGCTCACTGACTTTTGTCAGAATTTATTTCCTTGAAGCCACAGGATGGAAACCCTGTTTTCTTGCTGTCCACTGAAGGTCACTCTCAAATCTCAGAGACCGCCCACAGTTGTCTGTCACATGGACCGCTATATAACATGATAATTTTCTCATACAAAGTCACCAAAAGAGCATTTAATGCAGCTTCAAATCTCTATCTGATTATGCTTTCTGAAATCTAGACCCTCTTTTAAGAGGTCCACTTGATTAGGTTAGCTCCCGCCCACCCACACACATATACTCAAGCACAGGAAATTATACAAGGTGTCCCAAAAAAAAGAGCAGGAATTGTGAGGATTATCTTAAAATTCTGCTTGTTTTCCTAAGAAGATTGCTAAAAAGCTTTTTTGTTTTTGTTTTACCTCCCTTCTAGGATTGTTAACAAACATTTGTGGAACAGGTGGAAAAATTGAGAGAGACCTAAAATTTTATCCCTACCGGAGTCCTGGAGTGGATGGAATTCTTGAAATCCTTGAAGACAAAAATGTCAAAGTATAGAAGTGGTGGAAGTGTTCCAATTTGAAGAAAAAAAAAATGTTCTGAGTGATGTTTTTGAGGCAAGAGAGAGGCAGTGGCTTCGTGGCTTCAGTAATTGGTGGGATGTGAGCCATGTAAGGTATCAGGTAATAAAGGCTGAATGAGCTGGTAAGAGAGACCGAATTTCAGTTGTCAGGCTTCCAGCCTCAGCCAAGTCATGACTTCCCAAGCTTGACAGAGTCAGCAAAACCTCTCTCAATGAGAATATCAGGAGTGACCACTATTCACTAAGAAAAGGGCTTGTCATTGGATGTGTTTAATCTCATGAGAATCTTCTAACTCTGGAGAGGAAGAAGTTCCTTCTTAACAGGTCTAGAGTTGGATTTTCCCTTGAGTGGAAAATTTAAACCTTAAAATAGATAATCCAGTATAAAGAATACATTTTAAAAAATGAACAAGATACTTTTTACATTTTATTGACTGAAGTTCATCCCCATTATATATGAAAACAGAAAAAGTATAACTCAGTGTGATAGGGGTTATAATACCTGAATGCATAAAACATTTGCAATTATGGAAGAGCTCTGTCTAAATAAGTAGGAGGCTGGACATGTCCTCCAGAAGGAAATAACATATCTGAGCTTTAAAAAGTATGAGATAAAGAGAAATCATGGTAGAAATAGAGGTAGTGAAGTAGGGAAAAGAGGTGTGTGGATCTGATTTTCTTATATTTACAGGTGTGGACATAAAAGTTCAAAAAGGTGTGACAAGAAGACATGGCTAAATGGTGACATTAGGATTGGCATTCCATGTTTATGAGTTTTTCAGAATAGACTCTGTCTAGAGATAATCATTACATAAACAGATACTCCCTTAACCACTTTCTTTTTTAAAAGAAAGATTTTGAAAAGTTTAAGTGTTGAAGGCTAACATGAATTTCTTATTAATATGTACCAGTGGGAGATATTGTCTTATCAATAAACATGTTAATTGGGCTTAGTTGACAGTTGAGAGAGAAAGTTATATAATAGGGGTCACAAACTTGAAAGCTACAGGGCCATGCTGTTAATGTAAATGAGAGAAACAACCTAAATCCAAGCATAATACAAAAGAGGCTGGAAGAGCTTCTGAGAACTGGGGACCATCTAACCTTTCTAGAGGGGTAGCTTCTATTCAGCCCTTACCAATTACTGTCATGCCAAAAGACAAAGTTAACAGTGCTACAGTTTCAAATTGCTTCTGAGAAAAGCTGCAAATGTAGATTTAAGTATTGATAATGGTTGCACTAGGCAAAACATCTAAGAAATAGAGCCAACAGTTTATGCACTATGCTGTAAAACAATAGAATATGATATAATTCTCATGAGTTGGGGAAGGTGATTAAAGAGTTCAGAGTTAGGTAAGCAAAGGGGAAGTAATCTGAGAGAGAGGTATTGATAAGGAGAAAGGATAGCGAACAAAATAAACTTTATAAACTCTAAAAATGTGTCCAGTGTTGAAACTGCTTAGAAAAAAAGTCTATTATAGCATTCGATGCAACTCAAGTTTTCTCTACCAACTTGTCAATGGATCACCTTGCAATTCTGTTGAATAAGTGACAGTAAAATCTATTTCATCTCTGATCAAATCTAAACACAGTGACTGTTAAAGTGCTTTCTAGGAGCTATCTCTTCCTCTGAAAACAACAGAACTGGAGTATTTCATCTACCAAAATTTCTTAAATGCTAAATATTTATTGTGTGTGCCTGAATATGTGTGTGTATCCACACGTGCACATGTGTTTAGCTTTCATTCCCACTCCTCTTGGTCAAATTTAACCATATGTTTATGCATATAAAATAATATATCTTATCTCTTACTATGTTGTGACTACATATGCTATGGAGAAAAAGCAAAATAAATAATCTGTGCTTTTAAGCTGAAGTTCATTTTGGTGGCCAGATAAAAGTAAAATTGGTTTCCTTTCTTGTGTCAAAATTATAGAAGCATTTATTTGACTGACTAAACATAATTCTTTAAATCTTAGGCATTAGTTATTTGTTTCACGACAGAATAATTCAGAGGAAGTATCAATATGACTCAGAGTTATTGAAAATACAAAAAAAAAGTAAGGCTGAATAAGTTAGGTCTAGTTAGAAAATGGTGGTATTTGGATCAGGAAATCATGTAGTTTTCTTTCATAGAAAGATATTATATATGTGTATATGTATTTGGCACATGCTAAACTTTTTCAGCAAAGTCAGAGAAAGATGATTTCAGGACTTCCAGGTTGGACCCTTGGAAAGATAGTATTTGGAGAATTCATTCATATCAAAGAGAAGTTTCTCTCTCAGCTCAACCACCCATGTTAATCTCTACAGCAAATTTACTGCATCTTCTGCCTCAGGTGATGTTGAAATCCTACCTCGTTTAATTCTTTCTTCTCTCACGTTAAATCAGTTATGCATCTCACTGCTAAATATGAAAACAGTCTATTTATCAACATACTTTTTAAATAATTATAATTTAATAAACTATATTTCAGCTCGAATGAATAGTTTGATACTCTACCACAGATTTCAACTGATTTCGTATCATGCAAGGAGGGCATGTATTTAAAAGAAAATGGTGGCAGACATGGCACCATATTATTAAAAATTTTAAAAGACAGAGAATCTCTCTAAGAAATAATAATTTGCTTCTATTAGGTAATTAGAACTTTTGATGTCAGCATTTTTCAAAATGTGGGATTCAGAAAAGTGAAAAGAGACAAAGGGAAATAGAACTGAGTTTCAAGCAAGTAAAGGAATGGCTGTAGGAGGGGGTGGGGTTGTAGGGAAACTCTGCGCTTAACCTATCTCTGTCCAGTGGTTTTCTTGTTGCTTTCATAGTAGCTTGTGGAACTCCCCAGTAGAAACAGATGTTCAGCACCTCTACCCATTGTTATAATGAGGATATTACAGATGATTCACTAAGCATGCAGGCAACTTGGTTAAACTTCTGGCTTTGAGATTCTGCCTGCTTCCTCTTGAGACCCTAAGTAGACATCTTGAAAGAAATTGCAGCCCCAAGCAATAATTGCCCTCAGCTATTTTCATCCGTCTTACATGCACGAAGTTCCATGCTCTAGCCTGCTGTTTCATACAGTGAAACTGACTTTAGTCACCATGATCTCAAGAGGGGCATCTTAATTCCCAATTATGCCACAGAAAATGACCTCCTGGCCACTCTTTTCTGCCTCAGGTCTTGCAGTCCAGCTGGCCTCAGGCATTAGCCCTACCTTGAGTTTCTGTTTTATTTCTGATCTGCTAGGATTTGTATCTTATATTAGAGTATGGTCTTATCTTTTTTCTTATTAAATAATATATCTATTTTTGCTATATGCTAAGTGGCAAGGGGATTTTAAAGTACATCTTAAAAGCATCTGGACTAAAAGTTGTTCATGCTTTTATGATAGATAACTGCAAAAAATGTTCATTTATTTTCTTCTTTATCCTGGAAGTATGACTTTAAATTTGGAAGGACTATCTCAGGTGCCTGTGACTTTAATTAGCTAACTATATGTAAGATAGTTTCAGGGCAAAGTGATTTGTTAAAACTGGCCCCTTTCCATAAATAAAAGCAAGTGAACATAGTATATAATACTATATACAATCCTAAAAATATTAAATTTATCTATAAAGTCTGTTTTTCACAATATTAATAGTATTAAGAGAGTGGGTAGCCATTTAAAAAATTAAACATACCCTGTGGCAAACACTGCTGGTTGCACACTGCTCTTCCTTAATAAAAGAACCCTGACATTGTTTTGGGTACCAATATGCTCAGGTAGAAAACTACACCTACAGGCATCCTTGCAGGTAGTGGTGGCCACATGATGTAGTTCTAAACATTGAGATGTAAGCACAAGGCTTCTGGGAAGGCTATTTTTCCTGATAAAAAGAAAAAATTTATCAACCACCTTTGCCATTTACCCTTTTCCCTTCTTTGTTTCTGATACAGAGGTTCAATACCTATAGTGTAGCTACCATCTTATAACCATAAGGATAAAAGATGCAGGCTAAGTATAGTGGAGAAGGAAGATAAGAGGAGTCTAGGACTTTGAGCAACAACTCCCATCCTGTTAATACTTACCTTCCAACTCCTTTTAACATGAAAAAGACAAAACTAATTATCCATTTGTGCCATTTGCCTTTTTTGTCAGGTTTCTTTTACAGGCAGCTGAACTCCATCCTAATTAGCCTATTCTTTTATTACGATCCAGTTCAATTAGGCCAAGCTTTCATTCAATACCTTTTTTTTTTTTTTTAGACCAAGTCTTGCTCTATGGCCCAGGTTGGAGTGCGGTGGCGCAATCTGGGCTCACTGCAACCTCCACCTCATGGGTTCAAGCAATTCTCCTGTCTCAGCCTCCCAAGTAACTGGTACTACAGGCACAGGCCACCACACCTGGCTAATTTTTGTGTTTTTAGTAGGCACAGGGTTTCACCATATTGGTCAGGCCGGTCACGAACTCCTCAATACTCTTTCTTTATGTACAGCTTATGTATATCATTATAATGAGAGTGTTAATTTTATGTATAATTACTATTACTATTAAAATGATCAGATACATTTAAATTTTATAAATATTTTTACTCAGAATATAGGTTCAAGTAGTAACAGGGCAAAAAAAATAATCTTTACAAGTGTGTGCTTTCTTTGCCTCTTGTAGCATGACATCAGAAAATGAGGTTGTGGTAGAGAAGGAGATCCACCTCCAGGTTTCTTTTCAAGACAAGACTGTTGCACAGTTGAGGGGAGAAGGAAGCACACACCCTCCAGCTGTGAGGTCCTTCAGGGAGGGAATGCCTCAGCTGCAGAGACCTCATCATCTATTATTGCCCATACCTAGTGAGTAAGAGAAGAGTGGTATATGGTGCAGATATTTTGGTTTGATGCAGGACAATCTTATGGGCTCCCCATCAGATGAATCAAGGTTTTGCTGGACTTCAGTTGCAGCTTGACATCTTCCTCTCTCCAATACCATTGATTTTCTCTTCTTTCCATGGGTATTAATCTCTAATAATCATTTTACACCTTAAATACCACCTCAGGATCTGCTTCCAGAGAACTCAACTTGCAATAGTTGATATTGGAAGTGACCCAAGAAAGTAGGTGATAAGATGAGAGTTCAGGGCTGGACGCCTCACCACCTGACTAGCAGTGAAAGCACTAGAACTAGTGATAGATGGAGCACAGGCAGCTGCTGGCACAGTGTGGCAGTCCAATTGTTAAAACTATCAGCAGTGATTAATTGGGAGACTATTCCTGCAGGATAGAGTTCGCTAGCTCACGTGATACGTTACGCATTTGACATGTAGGATATAGTGGTTATAAGAATAAGAAACTGGATGGCTATTGTTATGTGGTTTCCTACCAAAAGACAATATGGAACTGAGGCTGAGTAATGGGCAACTGAAATGGGTGTGTAAGCCAGGGCCATCTTTGGTTGCATGCAAGGAAACCATCACCTTTAGCAGGAGAGCAAAGGAAAGAGAATGGCACCCATAAAATTGATAGGACTTTTTCTTTTTTTTTTAATTTGGAGCACTCTTCCAAGAGACAAGACTTAACATCATGGCAAAGCTACCAGGAAGTGATGTTAATTCATTACTGAGGTGGCTCCTAAATGCATGGGAAAAGTGATAGTAAATTTCACTGAGTGAATTGAAATGCCAGAATTGCCATGACAAACAACAAAGGATGGAATTATGATATGGTTTGGCTGTGTCCCCACCCAAATCTCGACTTGAATTGTATCTCGCAGAATTCCCACATGTTGTGTGAGGGACCTAGTGGGACATAATTGAATCATGGGGGCCGGTCTTTCCCATGCTATTCTTGATATAGTGAATAAGTCTCACAAGATCTGATGAGTTTATCAGCAATTTCTGCTTTTGCTTTTTTCTTTTTCTCTTGCCACCACCACGTAAGAAGTGCCTTCACCTCCTGCCATGATTTTGAGGCCTCCCTAGCCCATGTGGAAATGTAAGTCCAATTAAACCTCTTTTTCTTCCCAGCCTGGTATGTATTTATCAGCAGTGTGAAAATGAACTAATACAAATTAAAAACTTCAGGAAAACAGGCATATTGAAGGTGTGCATTATGTATGTCCAGAGACATATTACATAATTATGACCCACAGGAATACCCAGAGGCTACATCATTTACCCAGTTAATGAGAAAAGTTCTGGTAAAGAGGCACAAGGATCAATTAAACAGCTTAGTAATTGTTCTTCTCTGTAGCCCAGAGGAGAACTGGACTATATTGGATGGACAGTGACCCTAGTTTTAGCAACATAAGCTCCACATCCCAGGAAACCCCTCAGTTCTGGAAAAACCCAGATATTTGGTCACCCAAGTTAATACTAGACCCTGTTACAGAATTAGCTTAAAGATAGCATGGTGAAGATAGAATCCTGAAACACAGTACAAGTGGATGCATTTAACTTTCAGAAGTTGGAGCAGAGGGAGGAGATCACAATTATTTCAACAACCTCCAAAGTCAAAATGCCAACCAGAAAGTTCTGACCCAGAGAGAGCTACAGAGATGCTTGATAAATACAGTGTTCTTTGAGGTCAGATGATAAGGGTAGCAGTGAGTAGGAAAAAGTCAAGGATGAGTGACTTGGTGGATGAGGGCTGTTCTCCCAATTAAAAGTTTTGCCTTTTGTGTGTGGTTTCCACAACATAGCCATTTGACCACCCTGTAATCCATCAACCGAGGAGCTGGCTGGGTACTTAGAAGGACTCATGCTATGAAAATGTGTCAAGTGTACAAGCTAATGGCTCTCCCACCAATTCCCTAAAAGGGACATGTGGCCATTTACAGACTACTGAGCACTGGGATACCCAGTCTGTGAATACCCAGACATTATGAGAATTGATGGACACTGGATCTGAGAAGACATTATTAGCCAGAGTCCTAGAGCATTATCATAGCACATTTAGGGTAGGGGTATATGAGGCTGTGGGGATAGATACATAACAGGGACTGACATAATTGGCAATTGGCACAAGTCCAAAATTGGATTCTTAGTCTGTAGGGCAAAGGCTATTATAATGGGTAAAGTCAAGTAGAAGCTTTTGTAATTACTCACATTAACCCATGATAGTAAATCAAAACCAATATTACATCCTGGTCAATAGACATTGGTAGAAGTTAGTTCCACCCTTAAGAATCCAAAGGATTTACGAGTAGTAGTATCTGTCATATGTCCCTTTGATTGACTATTGTGACCCTTACAGAAATGAGATGTACCCTGGAGGATGATTATAGACTATTACAAACTCAACCAATTGTAGACCTGATTCCAGCCATTGTACTTTTGCCATAACGAATTTTTAAAAATCTTCAAACACATAGTATGCAGCCAACAATTTTCCCACTGAACCCTTTTCCATCATTATCAGAAGAGTACGAAGTAGATAACTGAAGATTCATGTGGAGCAGACAACAATATGCATTTCCACATTTTCTCTAAAGCTATGCTAATCTCCTACACTCTGTTATAATATAGAACAAAGTGATTTGGGCTGTCTGAATATCTTGGAGAACATCAAATTGATTTTACATCGATGGCATTTTATTGATTGGGTAGGATGAGCAAGACTTGGACAGACTGGAGCCCTTGGTAGGACACATACTCTAGAGACTGGGAGATTAATCATATGAAAAACGGGAATCTGTTGTATTCATAAAATTTTTAAAGATCTGGTGTTCAGGGACATGCAAAGAAATAATGTTCAAAGTAAAAGAAAGACAAATTATTATACCTTACACTGCCTGCCACAAAGAAGGAAGCACAATTCCTGGTGGGCCTCCTCAGATTCTGGAGATAGCAAATTTCATACCTAGGAATGTCTTGTTTGTTCAATGATACATCTTCTCTGACTAGAAAAGCTCTATTTCCATAGTAGGTACCAAATAATTTTTTGTTGGATACCTATATCAGTTAAAAAAAAAAAACTGCCTGGAACACTGGAACTTACATATGTCTCTCTCTACATTTCCATAGCCATTACTGTAGGCCAAGCTTGTCCAACCCACGGCCCATGGGCAGCATGTGGCCCAGGATGGCTTTGAATGTGGCCCAACACAAATTTGTAAACTTTCTTAAAACATTATGAGATTTTTTTTTGCGATTTTTTTTTGCAATTTTTTTTAGCCCATCATTTAGCTACCATTAGTGTTAGTGTATTTTATGTGTGGCCCAAGACAATTCTTCTTCCAAAGTGGCCTAGGAAAGCCAAATGATTGGACATCCCTGCTCTAGGCCAAATATATTTCATTGCACCTCAACAACTGGTATACCTTCTTAGAGTCTCCTTCCTTTCTTCCTTCCACATCTACATCCATTTCCTACACTAATTCCAGAGTCATCCTTTCATCCCCAAGTTATTTACAAATTCATTTCTAATCTGTCAAAGCCTTTCTATTTCTCCTAGAATAGTGACAAAACCATAGTATATCCTATAAAACCCCATAGTCAGATTTTAGTCTATTTCTGCCCATAAATTCTCTGATCCTCATTAAAATAGTATATTTCATGAAAAGTGCTGAAATATATAAACTTGTTTAATTTTTAAACTAACACTTCTCAAACTTGTTGACTATAATCCCTTTTATCATGGAATATCTATTAACCGCTAAAAATTTAAAAACGATATTCGATTTTCATCTACAACAGTGAACAATTTTTAGTATTGATGGTGAAAGGAGGTGGATGTGGTTGTATAAAGTAGCTCAGAGATCTTATCTATAGGATATGTCAGAATATGCTTAATATTCTTACCAGCCATCAATCACAGATGCATGTATGTCACTATGATATAAACATGATTTGGGAGCTTTATGTATATATTTAAAGGATACTAAGGTTATTTTGGTCAAATTTAACACATACAATTTTTGAAAATCTCATTTCTACTACAAGTTCTCCTAAAGTCTCTTTAACCTTTATGCTTATTCCTTATTTAGAGCTGCTGTCTTCTCTTCAGGGCCAGAGGCCCTGGAGAATACAGTGTATATTTGGATTCCTCAGAGTGACTGAAATCAAGTAGAGTATTATTGATATTATTGATAAAGTTAAAAAACAAAGCCTAATGCTGACATTTGCGGAAAACCATTGCCAATAGACGTGTAAAGATTTTCTATTTTTAGCAGAGTAAAATCATAATATCATACTTGCTGCTCAAGAGAATTATAATGTTTTGCCCTCCAATGGCCTATTAAGGATACAAGAAGCCTGAGTTTTAAAAACTTTTCCAAGGTAGGTGACTATTGTATTGTAATAAAAAACATTGTTTTACGGAATTTTCCTGACAGCTTAAAGTTATCATTCCTTTTTAAAAACTGTCTACAGCAAAGCATGGCTGTGCTTCTATTATAAAAGTTATAAGATGTGGCTCCTGTATGCTTTGAGGTCCTCACTAATCATGAGACATTTATTTTCTTTCTCTTTTTCTCTACATTCTCATACTTTAAACTATTCTCTGTCATGTTTTCTACATTTTTCTCATCATCTATTCAAATATATGAATCTTTCTCCAAAACTCTTCATATTATACTAAAAATCTATATTCTCTCACAGCAGCACATAGTTATGTATTGATCTTGATTCATTTCCTACATCTAAGATCTTAGCTAAAGACTCACTTACCTAATTGGAAGGGAGAAAAGTGCTCATTGTCATGAAGAATTTAGATTGACAGGTTATTAGTTTGATAAAGCCAGAGTGACGGAGATGGGTCACAAATTGTCCAAAGCAGAAACAACATTTTCACATTTTTAATCTCAGTATATTATATGAATATTCTGTTAATGGTACAAATCTGATAACTATAGCTTAGATGTACACAAATATCAATAGTTTTATGACATAAATAAATATTTTAGGTGTACTCATTTCTTTGGGCAATGATAGAGAGACAATTAATTTTAATTTAATTATTTGTTTTTTTTTCTGGTTTAATTATCAGTACAATTTGGACAAGCTCTGTAAGAAAATTCAAGAATTAACATTAGGTCATAATTAAAAGCTCCCTTTCTGGGTTTTCACTCCATTTGAAGGACTCTTTCTTACTCTCCTCTGTCTTACTGGCCCATCTCTTGGAGGAAACAGGGACAACATAGGAATATCTTGAGGGCACACACAGTAGTGATGAGATATTCACGCCTGGTTGTGTGGTTCTACTTCTTGACTTTCTCTGCTAGTGTCCTCATCATATCCCAGCTATGAGTGATGTTCTTCCCCTATAAAAAAAAGTTCTGGTGGTATCTGCAGATTTTGCCAGTCAGAAAGCTATCATTATTATTACTATTTTTCATGTATGTGTGTATATATATAAATAGCTAATGATTTCATATTTTGAAATTTTTCTAATACATGTAAGGCTACAAATACCATTCCATGCTCTGTTTTACCTTCATCACAAGTGTTTATATATTATATTTCAATTAACAGTCAGTTTTAAAATTCAACTGTGCTTTTTTATTTCCCATTAGTAATTGAGAACTCTATCTTTATGTCAAAATGTATAAATAATTTTTAATTGTCCTTTGCTCATTTTACTTGAATTTATATCTGTATTCCACACCCATAGATGTCTTGATTGTAATTAATATATATTAAGATCTAGAATTTCTATTTAGTGCTTTTGCAAAACTACTGTTACATTTTTATGGTTTTCAATCCTTGATTGAAGTATTTAATATTGTCTTTACCTCTTGAATTAAAAAAGCATAGTTACTTAGAAGCTAGTTGTCTGATAATTCTAGTATCTGAACCCATTGATTGTGAGACAGATACTGTACTTAATGAAATTGTAGAAATAATTCGAGTTCTGATATGATGTTATCTTGCTTTAGGGAAGATTACCATTTGCTCTGACAAATGCTAAAAGTCAGTAACAGGACAATCTCTCTGTCAGGGGTTGAAGTTATCTGGGTTAGGCTGGCCAACATGGGGAAATCCTGTCTCTACTAAAAATACAAAAAATTAGCTGGGCTTGGTGGTGGGAGCCTGTGATCCCAGGTACTCCGGAGGCTGAGGCAAGAGAATTGCTTGAACCTGGGAGGTGGAGATTGCAGTGAGATCACGCCACTGCACTTCAGCCTGGATGACAGAGCAAGACTCCATCTCAAAAAAAAAAAAAAAAATGTAAGTTTTAGCAATCCCGTTACTGGGTATATACCCAAAGGATTATAAATCATTCTACTATAGAGACATATGCACACGCATGTTTATTGCAGCACTCTTCACAATAGCAAAGACTTAGCACCAACCCAAATGTCCATCAAAGGTAGACTGAATAAAGAAAATGTGGCACATATACGCCATGAAATACTATCCAACCATAAAAAAAGGATGAGTTCATGTCCTTTTCAGGGACATGGATGAAGCTGGAAACCATCATTCTCAGCAAACTAACACAGGAACAGAAAACCAAACATTACATGTTCTCACTCATAAGTGGGAGTTGAACAATGAGAACACATGGACACAGGGAAGTGAACATCAAACACTGGGGCCTGTCAGGGGTTTGGGGGCTAGGGGAAGGACAGCATTAGGAGAAATAACTAATGTAGATGACGTGTTGATGGGTGCAGCAAACCACCATGGCACATGTATGCCTATGTAACAAAACTGCATGTTCTGCCTATGAATCCCAGAACTTAAAGTATAATAAAAAAAGAGTGATAACTATAAAAAAAAATTATCTGCAACATTGCAATGACTTAAATGGACTCTAGTCCATCTGAGTTTCTTTTTCTTTTTTTCAATTCCCCCTTATTGCTCAGATGTAGATTCTTAGACTTCCATTGCAAAGGGATGAGAGTTCACTATGCCATTTCCTGAATTTTAATTTGCGCCACTCTAGACTCTCAAGGTTGTCAAAAGCATTGCACAATCTCTAATCCATGTCTTTAAGATCAGCAGTTCTCAAAAGGCAAAAGGCCCCAATCTCAATTAATAAACTTGGATTTTTGTGGACCTATAGTGATATGGTTTGGCTTTGTGTACCCACCCAAATCTCGTCTTGTAGCTCCCATAATTCCTACTTGTTGTGGGAAGAACCGGGTGGGAGATAATTTTATGGAGGTGAGTCTTTCCCGTGCTATTCTCATGATAGTGAATAAGTCTCTGATGGTTTTAAAAATGAGAGTTTTCCTGTACAAGCTCTCTCTCTTTGCCTGATGCCAATTATGTAAGACATGACTTGCTCCTCCTCACCTTCTGCCGTGATTGTGAGGCTTCCCTGATGATGTGAAAGTGTAAGTCCAATTAAACCTCTTTTTTTTTTTTAATTGCCAGTCTTGGGTATGTCTTTATCAGCAGCATAAAAACAGACTAATACGTATACTTATTTATTGCCTAGTTAGTCTGCCACTTCTTTCAAGCAGGCATTTCTAATATTTCACACATCATTTCTAAATATCCCCTATATGGATGGTCTGTGTTATCTAATCTTTCCTTCTAAAATGTATTATTAAAGCGTGTTGAAGCTTATTTATATTGAATGCTATTGCTGTTTTGATTTCATAAATAAAGTATCTAAAGTCCAGAGTTTGTTAATACTCTGCCATCCAGTGAATATGTAACAGTTCCATGATTCCAAAAAAATGCTCTTTATTCTACCAAAACAAAAAAAATCACAGTTTTGATACTGCTTCTACTTTTGGAAATCATCTGGTAAGCTTCCAATCTTTCTATTAAGGTTGTCTTTGTAAAAAAAAAAAAAAAGAAAAGAAAAGAAAGAAAAATAAAGAGTGTCAAACTAATTATAATTCACCTACTTCATTCTTCAGCAACTAGGAGAAAAATGGAATTGATCTGCTATTGTTTATACATTTTTGATCTTTTGACTCAGAGAGAGAACATACATTTTATAACATTAAAGAGTAACATCATGTGTGTGTATGTGTATAAAAAGGTATGCAATCACTATATATATATTTATAGAGAATATATTTATGTTGTACATATATCATCTCTATACATATTTACATAGATACAAATATAGCTATCTGTAGTTATAGCTATATAGATATACACATGATATATATGTATGTATATGTTTTCGTGTGTGTGTGTGATACTTAAAACAATAGATTAAAACCATAAAGACAAAAAGGTGAATAAATCAACATTTAAATTTATTTCATTTTAATTGGTCAAATAATATTTGGTACATTTATTTTTAAATATGTTTTTATAGTATTCTGAAAATGTGACTATAATAGAAACATTAATTTGCCTAGAAACCTATTAGAAGGATTTAAAAGGACACAAGAAATCTTAAATGAGCTTGTGTTACAAGCTGTATGTAATGCAAATCTGAAAAAAAAAAGGCATTTCTCAGAATATTATGCCATTGTTGTCATGGGATCCCTGGGGTGTTGCTTTTCCAGCTGGAAGCGTCTGTGGCTTGATGACGCCTTTGCCCGAGTTTGCTCAGGCTTACTGGGCTCAATCCACCCACTCAGCCTGGCAAGCTGCACTTGGCTTGTGCTACCAGCCAGAATCCCACACCTGCTGACGCAGATCAGTGAGGGGTGCATAAGTGAGCAAGCACGGGATCCAGCCATTACACATAGCCAGGCCTATCAGCTGCTGTAGCCAGGTGAACAGCTCCAGGTGCCGGCACATGTGCCAGCTCCGTAGGAGGCTGTGGCTGGACCAGACATACTGCAAGCAGCTTCTACTGTGCGCCCAGGGAACGCAATGGCACCTGGAAGCTTGGAAGCGCCAGGAACCACAGAGCCCCAAAGAGGGTGCCACAGCCCTGATTCAGGGATCCCTTAGGTCTGGGCTTCCTGAAGGGCCGCAGCTTATCTCTCCTACTTGTTGCTTGCAATGTGGCGAACAGCGGGGCATGTTCAGCCTTGTTCGTGTTACAGTTCTTTCAGTCCTGCCATGTGGTGGGTCCGGAGTTCTTGTACTGAGTCCGGGAAGAATGAGGTACATGGACAAACGGAGGGTGAGCAAGTGAAGAGATACTTTATTAACAGTACAGCTCTCAAGAGACATGGAGTGGGTAGCTCCCATCTGCAGGCAAGTCGTCCAGATGAGTGTGCAGCCCTCAGCAGAGAGAAGACCTGGAGTGGGTACCTCATAGCTGGAAGTAGTTTGTCCAGGTATCTCTGTGAGTCTGGCTGAGTCCAGGGTTTTTATGAACTTCAGAAAGGAGGAAGTGCATGCTGATTGGTCCATAGGGGCCATGGGTGAGCCTGGAAACAGCGCCTTAAGTTCTCACTGTGGGCTGTGGACTCCACCTAGAACTGACAGCCCGGCCCGCAGGCTTCAAGCTGTGGCTGGCATGAAGGTGGGACAGTGACCCACCCCTTCTGACCAGGAGCCTGTCTGCCTCCTGCCTTCATCTACATGTCATCCACTGCTCGCAGTCTGTTCATGGTGAGCCACCCTCACCTCTCTATCAGCCTCCCTCTCATGCACATCGGCACTCAAAGTCCAGAGGGGGCTGAGGCAGCAGGGTGCTAGTCTGTCAGAGCCGCCCTGAGCGTGTGCATACCTGAGCAGATCACAAGAGCACCTGGACTTGGCTTCAATTTGCTTTAAAATCAGAATGGGTGCCAGGAACAGGGAGAGGCCAGGCAGCAGAAGCAGACATTCCTGAGCCTGCAGAGGCAGGGGGAATTCCCGGGCCCCTAAGAACATAGAGACGCCCAGGTCCACAGCCATGACTGGGCAGCTGCAGCTGTGCCTGGATGGTGGGGCTCCTGCCCTGCCAACTTGGAAAGGGGCAGGGCTTCTGCCTGTTCCTGGCCCCCCTGGCCCTACCTTACCTGCTGCAGCTGGCATCTTCGCAGTGGCCGCTCCATACAGGCCACCACTGCCATCAGTTGCAACAAAAGCAATCGCAACAAAAGCAAAAATTGACAAATGAGATCTAATTAAACTAAAGAGCTTCTGCATAGCAAAGTAAATTATCAACAAAGTAAACAGACAACCTACAGAATGAGAAAAAAATTTTGCAAACTATGTAAACCAACAAAGGTCTAATATCCAGCATCTATAAAGAACTTAAACAAATTTACAAGAAACAAATAATCCCACAAAAAAGTGGGCAATGGACATGAACAGACACTTCTCTTTTTTATTTATTTACGTATTTCTTGAGATGATGTCTCACACTGTTGCCCAGACTAGAGTGCAGTGGTGCCATCTTGGCTCACTGCAACCTCTACTTCCCAGGCTAAAGCAATCCTTTCACCTCAGACTCCCAAGTAGCTAGGATTACAGGTGTGAGCCACCACACCCGACCAATACTTTTCAAAAGAAGTCATACATGTGGCCAATAATCATATGAAAAGAAGCTCAACCTCACTGATCATTTGCAAATCAAAACCACAGTGAAATACCATCTAACACCAGTCAGAATGCCTCTTATGAAAAAGTCAGAAAATAACAGATGCTGGTGAGGTTGTGAAGAAAGAGGAACACATACACTGTTGGTGGGAGTGTAAACTAGTTCAGCCATTATGGAAGACAGTGTAGTGGACCTAAAGACAGAAATACCATTCGACCCAGCAATCCCAAGGAAATATAAGTTGTTCTGTTATGAAGACACATGGACATGTGAGTTCATTGCAGCACTATTCACAGTAGCAAAGATACGGAATCCACCTAAAATGCTCATCAATGATAGACTGGATTTGAAAATGTAGTACATATACGCCATGGAACACTATGCAGGCATAAAAAAAGAACAATATCATGTCCTTTACAGGAGCACAGATGGACTTGGAGGCCATTATTCTAAGCAAACTAACACAGGAACAGAAAACCAAATATCACATATTCTCACTTATTAGTGGGAGCTAAATGATGAGAACACATGGACATATAGAGAGGAACAATACACCCTGGGAACTACTGGAGGGTGGAGGATGGAAGGAGGGAGAGAATTAGGAAGCACAACTAATTACTACAAAGCATAATACCTGGGTGATGAAATAATCTGTACAACAAACCCCCAGGACACACGTGTCCCTATCTAGCCAACCTGCACTTGTACCACTAAATTTAAAATAAAAGGTAAAAAAAATATGATACGTAAAAATAAAACTACATGGTTAACATAAAAATAATGCTGTTTTTCTGAAAAGGACAATTTTATTCACTGTAGATTTTTCAAAATCTGAACATGCAGAGAAACTAACCAAGCTAATTATACCATGTGTTGCAGGGCCTTCCCGCATGGTTATTTTTCACTGGTGCTCACAGAGGATGAATATACTCCACCTTCAGCAATGGCTCCTCCTCATCACAAATCACCATAAACCTTCCTGAAAATGGTGAAGCACTGATAGAGAATTGCAAAATGATGAAGTGTTTAATTGTTATTTAAAATTCCCTAAGATATTTTATCTAACTTACAGAAAAATAAGTGGATATTACAAATGGTATTTAAGCTCTAGCTTACTCTAAGTTCTTAGGCAATTAAAACGATTAGGTTGGTGCAAAATTAATTGTGGTTTTTGCCATTACTTTTAATTATGCTTAATGGCAAAAACCACAATTAATTTTAATTTTAAAAAATTATGGTGGCCGGGTGCGGTGGCTCACGTCTGTAATCCCAGCACTTCCGGAGGCCAAGGCAGGTGGATCATGAGGTCAGGAGATCCAGACCATCCTGGCTAACACAGTGAAACCCCGTCTCTACTAAAAATACAAAGAAAAAAAAAATTAGCCTGGCATGGTGGTGGGCACCTGTAGTTCCAGCTACTCAGGAGGCTGAGGCAGGAGAATGGCGTGAACCCAGGAGGCGGAGCTTGCAGTGAGCCGGTATCGTGCCACTGCACTCTAGCCTGGGCGACAGAGCGAGACTCCATCTCAAAAAAAAAAAAAAAAATTAAGGTAAATATTTTATAAGTAGAAAAACCAAAGACCTTTTATACTGATAATAGCTATACTTTATTTATCTTTGTGATCTTTGGTTGTGATTATGAACCAATTTTTTATTGAAAGTTCAAATAAAAATTGTATTAAAAGTAATATGTGATTAAAGACATAAAATACAAGTTTTTCTTTGATTTTAACTTAATACTATAAAGTTTTGATAATGTAAATTAATTTTTTATGTGGCCACCCGTCATACAAAATAACTTCTGAAACAGGATTATTCTCATATTTGTTTCACCATGAGCATAAGCAAATGAACATTTTGTGTTTGGTGAATGTTACATTTTTGTTTTTGCTTAATTTCAATCTCATAAGAAAATGTCACACTCTCCTTAGGGTGTCGTTTTTCCAGCCGGAAACCTCTTTGACTGGTTAAACCTTTGCCCAAGTTTTGCTCAGGCCCACTGGTCTCATTTTGCCCACTCGGCCTGGCAGGATGCACTTGGCTTATGCTACCAGCCAGATCCCATGCCTGCCAACTGCAAGCCAGGTGCAGAGCAGCAAAGGGTGTGTGAGCGAGCAAGCATGGGGTCCAGCCACTGCGCACAGCCAGACACGCTGGCTGTGGCAGGGCAGGCAGCTCCAGGCACTGGCACTGGTGCCGGCTCCATGCGAGGCTGTGGCTAGACCAGATGTACTACAAGAGGCTTCTGCTGTGGGCACCAGCATCTGGACAAGGGGAACATGGTGGCACCTGAAAGCTCAGAGATGCCAGGAACCCCAGAGCCCCAAAAGGGTGCTACAGAGTGTCACAGCCCTGGCTGAGGGAGCCCCAAGCTCTCGGCTCCCAGAATGCCACAGCTCCTCTCTTCTGGTTGCCCACAGTGTGGTGAGTGGCGGGGGGGAACATGGTTCCGCCCTGTTTGTGTTACAGCTCTTTCAGTCCTGCCATTTGGCGGGTCCTGAGTTCTTGTCCTGTGTCCAGGAAGAATGAGGTATGCAAACAACTGGAGGGTGAACAAGGAAGACAGAAGCTTTAACTGAGCGATAGAACAGCTCTCAGAGACCCAAATCCGCAGCTCCTTTCCACAGGCAGGTCGTCCCAATGTCTGTGTGAGTCTGGCTGAATCCAGGGTTTTTATGGGCTCAGAGGGGAGGAAGTGTGTGCTGATTGGTCCATGGGTGGCCATAAGCAGACCTGGAAAAAGCACTGTAAGTTCTCACTCCAACAGTGGACTCCACCAGGAAATTGCAGTCCAGCCCCTAGGCTTCAGGCTGTCCCTGCCTTGAAGGTGGGGCTCTACCAGGTACCCATCCCTTTCCACCCAGGAACCTGTCTGCCTCCACCATCATCAATACGCCGTCCATGGCGGCCAGGGTGTTCGTGCTAAGGGGTGCCTGCAGGCCTGCGCCTAGCTGCCCTAAACACCCCCGGACCTCCTTCCTATGCTCATCAGCTCCTGAAGTCCAGAAGGGGCCGAGGCAATGAGGGGCTGACATGTCAGCACCGCCTCAAGCAATGCACACCTGGTGCACACCTGGCCGGAGCACGTCAGTTCCCCAGGCTCAGCCACAACTTTGCTCCAAATTCGAAGCAGGTGCTGGGAGTGGGGAGAGGCCAGGGAGTGGGAGCATGAGCTTCTGAGCCTGCAAGGACAGAAGGGCCTTCCTGGGCCCCCGAGGGCACAGGGATGCCTGAGTCTGAAGCTGCAGTTGGGTGGCTTCAGCTTCGCCTGGGAGCATGGGGCACCCACCCCGCCAACTTGGTGGCTGGGGTGGGGGTGGGAGAGGGGAGCTCCTGCCTGTTTCTGGCTCTTGCCAGCTCCGTGGAGCATGCAGCCCTGGCCCTGCCTCCCCCACTGCAGCTGACGTCCCTCCAGTGGCTGCTCGCAACAGGCCACCCCAATTGTATAAGGTACCTTATACAATTCATTCTAACTGGATAAGTAAATATTTCTCAAAATTTTTATTGTCAGTTATTTTCATATATAGGGTGGGATTATGTAAATTAATATACTGAATCTAGTCCAGATACTAAGGTACAACATGGGGATTATGGAAGTAAGAATCAAACATTTTAATTGTTGGAAGATTAATCTTTAAATTTCTTGGGACAGGAGCCAAATAAAGTTATTATTTTGTGTCACCTGATCTCTAATATGAGACTCAGATAACATTTCTCATTAAATGGTAAAATTTTTTATTTAATTTAATAGAAAGAAAGCAGAAAAGATGCAAGTCTAATAAAATAAAAATAGTTAATAGTTAACCATAAAATAGTTAATAAAGTTACTATTGGTGACTTCAGTGGGTTGCAAGGTTTGGACTTTAGCATGTATGAAGGATTGAAACATAAATATGAATTGTGTGTGTAATGTTAGAGCATAGTCATATATTTTTTGTTTGTTGCAAACTAGATAGTCATTGTATGTATTATGTTTCATGATACAGTTATTTACACAGAAACTTAATTCCTTAGGGAACCTGGTAGCATAATTATACAGATAACAGAAAATGTTACTAATTTTGGAGCATCTGAAAAAGATGCATTGAAAAGAATTTGGTCCCATAGAATGGTTTTGTTGTTATTTAAAAGAGAAATGTTTTGGTTGTAGATGTTTTGTAATAATTCTGCAAAGGGAAAAAATGCAATTCAAAGAGTGACAAGAAGAGATTTGGTTGGAAATGAATGTGCCAATAACCTGTTTCATGGAGAAATCAGCTTTCATGTCAATGATGACTACAAATACAGATTTTGGTTAAAGGATCAATTTTATACCCAAATCATCAAAACCAAAAGCATTTATTTACATACCACTACCCTGGTGAGTTTTCTTCCAAAGAACTGGAGGTCTTATTATAAGCACCTATCATCAATTAGCTCTTCTTTTGAAGTTGTAATAAGCAAACCTCATTTTCTTACATTAGAGATAGAGAAACTGATTGGCAAGGATATTTCATTTTATAATATTTTAATATAAATTGGTTATTTTGACTTTAAATAATTTTAGCATTTTTCTGATAAAATCTATGAAAATATATTGTGAATTATGAACCATTAAATATATGCAGATAAGGGTATAGTGGAGAATGATAATTCACCACATGATGTGTTAAATTTTAACTTGAAATAGTATACATCTGCAACATTACAGTAAACATAAAGAGAAGCTCTTCAAAGAGAAACTGTACCCAAGCTAAATAAGTATATTTAGATTTCAGGGGATACCTCATGGTAGTTCTTTCTTACAGTATAAAGTAAGTATTATCTATATTAGAAAATTTAAAATCATGTTTTGAAATTAATTTTGGGGTCTTGAATAAGAATACAGTTCTGAGTGTTCAGGAATATTTTAGTCTAATTTGAATGTATTTATGTCTGTTTTTATATATTGCTATTCAGGTAGATATAAAACAGAGTGAGAAGCATAGATTATGCGTGTATAAACAGATAGACAATGAAGTGAAATAATTTTTCAATCCTTTAAAGCAGGGGTCCCAAACCACTGAGCCAGGGACTGGTACTGATTTTTGTAGCCTGTTAGCAACCAGGCAACACAGCAGGAGGTGAGTGGCAGGTGAGCCAGCAAAGCTTCATCTGTATTTACAGCCTCTCCCCCTTGCTCATTTACTGCCTGAGCTCCGCCTCCTGTCAGATCAGTGGGTGCATTAGATTCTCATAGGAGTGAGAACGCTATTGTGAACTGCACATACAAGGAATCTAGGAATCTAGGTTGCCCATTCCTTATGAGCATCTAATGCCTGATGATCTGTCACTGTCTCCCATCACCCCCAGATGGGACCATCTAGTTGCAGGAAAACAAGCTCAGGACTGTCCCACTGATTCTACATTAGTGAGTTGTACAATTATTTCATTATATATTATGATGTAATGACAATTGAAATAAAGTGCACAATAAATGTAATGTGTTTGAATCATCCCAAAACCATCCCCCTAACCCAAGTCCACAAAAAAATTTTCTTCCACAAAACTGGCACCAAAAAGGTTAGGGACCACTGCTTTAAAGTCTTAAAACATATTGCAAATATCCCAAATCATATTGGCAAATTATACGTGAAAAATCTGACAATATAAAGGCCAAATTTTTCGAACTTATTTAGCAATGCTTCCAGAGCATTGTGCCACTTTTTTTTTCTAGCTTCCCTATCCAGTGTTGAGATGAAATTCAAACACCTGATGATTAGTGGAAGGTGGACAACAGGAATTTAAAGCATAAGTTGAGAACACAAGACATGCTGGCTCCGACAAGTAGAAAACAAAAGATAACATCTGCTACTCTTATTTTCTAATTCTATTTACTCTTTTGTTAATATAATCCTTTACAATATTCATCTTCCGGAAGTAATTTCCACACCAACTAATTTGCATATTTTCATGCACTATCAACATTTTTTTACTTGTTTTAATTCTGAGCTGCCCTAGATATTATTGACACACAATTTATTGTGTTGGTGTTTGTTTCTACTTAACTGGTTTACTAGATTAATTTCTTCTTATAACATGCAATTGAAATGATCCTCTCAGAATATTATAGAGAAGTTCACATTGAACAAATATTCTTCTTCCTTCCTGCTTTTGTTTTCTCCTAGCCATCAATACCTACCAATGAGCTCTTAACACCTCTCCATTTATTATTCAATTTGCCTGCTGAATTGTCCCATTATCTTTACTGTGTGCTGCCACCCTTGTTGAGATGCTTATTCCCTCATAATGGACTATATTAATTGTCTTGTAACTCAGTCTCTTTCTTTCTCCAGTCTATCAAGTACAGTGCAGGCAAATTAATCTTCTTAAAATATGATTTTGATCATGTCAGTCCATCTTCATTGATTTTTCACTGTCTATCCAAGACAATAGAGATTTCTTTGCCTGGTATTCCATTTTTATCACATTGAATAAATGGTTTTATACATTTTATTCATGCAACCAAAATTTTTTATGGACATACACAGTGATGATTCTAGCTATCCAAGATGAAAAAACAATTGCTGTTCTAAATGTTTTTACCATGTTTTGAGAGAAGCAGACATACATAGTAGTAATTTTTAGGTTATAAGGGCTAGTCCAATATGATAAATAAAGAGAATAATTAATTCCATCTCAAAAGACTAAAAATTATGAAAAATTTGAGTTAACCCTGCATTTTCACAGTTGGGGAAGGTTAGTGTATCTTACTATTTCTCTATATGTCGTTTAAATAGAAAATCTCCTTTTTCATACATTCATTTTATTATTCCAATAATTTACAGTTAACAATGTTACCATTAAATGGGATAACATTTTCTTACTCTGTCTCTGTAGAAATTATTTTTCTGTACCGTTATCCATAGCAGTTAATCTGCTTTACATTTTCCAACTTTACAGCCCCTTGAGTTCTTAGGACAATGCCCTGTGTTTAATGAGTGCTCAATAGAATAAGTGTTTAATACATTTAAACACATGTAAAATGAGGTTTCCTTAGAGTTTTAATTTGCATTTCCTTGATTACCAAGACAGTATATTTTGTATATATTTTTATCCTCCGTTAGTGTTTTCTCTTCCAGAAAACAAAACAAAAAGAAAAACCTCCTCATATCATTTGTTCATTTTTCTCTGTTTTTTGTTGTTGTTGTTATTGATATATGGGATTGCTTTAACAATTTTAAAACAAAATCTTTGTTTATTACATGTTATACCTATCTTTCTTCTCCAGCTTTACATATTTTAGAGTGGTGTTAGATAAGCAGAAGTTCTATTAACTTTAGCAATATGTTTCATTTCTCAGCTAAGTCTCTTTAAATATTTTCTCTCATTCATTCTCTTTATTACCTAATTCTGGAATTCTGATTTAATGTATGCCATACTTTATTCTTCATGTTTCTGATCTTGTCTTGCATAACTTTTATCTCCATGTTTATCTTTGTTACTTTTAAAGTAATTTTTATGTCTATCTTCAGGTTTACTAGCTCAGTTTCATCCTTGTTTAATCTGCTGTTTAATCTTTTTTTTTCTTTTTCATTTCTATCACTAAGAAGTTTCCAAGAAGTTTCCAAGTTTACCCATTTGACGCAATAAGCACATTCTGCCTGCCTCTCCCACTGAATACAAATATTAAATCTGAATGTACATCGAGCTATATTATAACAGTAAATAGTAAATGGTAGCAGATGTATCAGAGAAGACCAGAATGTAGAGTACCAACAAACTGTCATGAAATTACCACAAGAGGGAAGAAAGAAAAAGAGAAAAAAGATGAAATAATTAAACAAGTAATAAAGAAATGTTGGAGCTTTCTAATGGATGGTTTCACCAAGTTTATGATAGGGCAGATTTGAAAATAATATAGCTCTAGGTACAACCTTGAAAACATAAATGCAGATTCTGGTAAATTGCCAGACAAAGAAAGTCACCTGTAGCAGAGTAAGAATCAACAACTTGAGAAGCATAAAAATATCATTTATCAAATGCTGTAAAAAGGGAGCCTAATAAATCTACGTCTAGTTAAGATATCATTCACCTGTCACCATAAAATACAAATCTTTACATATATACATGGAAGGCAATATCAGCCTAAACTCTAAGATCAATAATAAAGAAACAGTTTTAACCAAAAATTCAAATGTATCAAATTAAATGTGGAAAAATATAAAAAGATAAGAAAATGTGAGTGCTGAACTCTGTAAAAAATGTAGATTTAATGGGTCATTATAAAATGATTGGAAATGTGTTTACTTTTAGTAAATTGGTCATGTATTTGTTGGAAATAATGACAAAGGGACTTGGTATATATTGAAATAGCTAAGTAAGGATTTTTAATACAGAAGAGACGTAATTCCAGAAAAAGTTCAATAATGTTCTAAAAGTATAATAATACTTTATTACAATAAAATTAAAAAGTTAGAAATGAGGCATGAAAACCTAAAGGTTGTATCCTATTAGAATGGAGAGAAGGAAACAGAGAGGAAAAACTTCCACTTGGTGACGGCTATAGTTGGTAGGGGTTTAATGATATGTCTAAAAAAAGAAGAGGACATTATTAGTGGAAGCAAAAAGTGTAGTGGTAGACTATAATTAAGAACTTATTGTATATTCTCAGATAGCTAAAAGAGCAGATTTTGGATGTTCTCAACACAAAGAAATGATAAATGTTTGAGGTGATGAATATGCTAATTATCCTGATTTGTTCTTAACACATTCTATACATGTATCAAAATGTCATTTTGTACCCCATAAATATGTACAATTTTTATGTGTTTATTAAAATGGTAATCAAAGCAAATAAATAAATATATTCCTTGACTAAATGTATTCCTAGGTAATATTTGTGGCTATTTAAATAGGATTGAGTTTTTGATTTGATTCTCAGCTTGAACATTATTGATGTATAGAAATGGTACTGATTTTTATACACTGATATTGTATTCTAAAACTTTACTGAAATCATTTATCAAGACTGGGAGCCTTTTGAAGGAATCTTTAGGGCTTTCTAGGTAGAAGATCATGTCATCAGTAAAAAGAGACTTGACTTCCTTTTTTCCGACTTGGGTGTCTTTTTAAATTTCTTTTGCCTGACTGCTCTGGCTAGGACTTCCGTTACTATGGTTGAACAGGAGAGGAGAGACTGGACATCCTGGTTTTGTGTTGCAGTTCTTAGGGGGAATGCTTTCAACTTTTCCCCACTCAGTATAATGTTGGCTGTGGGTTTGTCACAGTTGGCTCTTATTATTTTGAGATGTATTTCTTCAATGCCTAGTTTGTGAAGCGATGTTGGATTTTATCAAATGCATTTGCTGCATCTATTGAGATTATCATATGGTTTTTGTTGTTAATTCGGTTCATGTGGTGAATCACACTTATTAATGTGTAAATGTTCAATCACCCTTGCATTCCTGATACAAAGCCCACTTGATTGTGATAAATTATCTTTTTGAAGCGCTGTTGGATTGTTTGCTAGTATTTCGTTGAGAATGTTTGCATCTTTGTTCATCAGGGATATTGGCCCGTTTTGGGTTTTTTGTTGTTTCCTTGCCTAACTTTGGTATCATAGTGATGCCAGTTTCATAGAATGAGTTAGGGAGGAATCCCTCCTACTCAGTTTCTTGGAATAGTTTCAATAAGATTGGTACCAGCTTTTCCTTGTTAAGTCTGGTAAAATTAAGCTATGGATCTGTGTGGCCCTGGGCTGTTTTTTGTTTGTTTGTTTGTTTGTTTTTTCCTTTTGGAACTTTTTTTTTCAATTACAGATTTAATTTCATTACTTGTTATTGGTCAGTTCAGGATTTTTATTTCTTCCTGGTTCAATCTTGGGAGGTTGTACATTTCCAATAATGTAACAATGTCCTCTAGATTCTCTAGTTTGTGGGTATACAGATGTTCATAATAATCTCTGATGATTTCTTTTTAATTTCCATGGTATTAGTTGTGATGTCACGTTTATCATTTTTGAGACCACTGCAATCTGGCTATACCCTCCCTGGCCTGGTCTATGCCACCACACAAACCGGTACCACACTCTTCTCTGTGTTCTGACAGTGGGTGCTCATTTTTTGTTTGAGATAAAAGCACAATCACATTGCTATACCTCCTGCAGGCGTGGTCAAGTGCTGGAGAAATGGTCGTAGGCCAGCGGATTTGTCCTCGGGCCTCTCAGGTCAAGCACCAGCTGTGATGGGCGTGGACTGTTCACAGGCTGCCAGCAAACCACTCAGGTGGGGCAAAGGAGGCTATGCTGTGATGGGAACCGCCAGACCTGGAGTCTTGGGAGGGACTCATAGATACGGGGACACGTGGTTCTAGTGCATTTCGGTTCTGTGGCAATGGTGGTGGGGCCTATCTTGGGCACACTAGCCGGTCCCAGCCCCATTCTCTCCCGGCCTAGCAGACAGCACAAGCTACAGCTGCTCAGGGCACGATGTAGAGCCCCAAAGGGTGGGCGCCCGGAGTTTCCTATTGCTACAACTTCCCAGCACACCGAAGCATCTGAGCTCCATGCAGGTTCAAGCAGTGCCTTGGTGTGGTCTTCAGGCAGCTCCACCTACCTGTTCAGACGTCTGTGGGGGTCATGAGAACTCTTGTAGCTAGAATGTCAGGGGTCTGCAACGGGAATGGGATGCCCTGGGATTTTTTCACTCACACCTTCCTTGGGTCTGGTCCAGGTCTCGGGGCTGGTCTTGGAGCCCAGTGACACCAACCAGACAGTCTTGCTTTCTTGCTCTTCAACCATGGTATCTTTAGTCACCTCTCTAGTAAATTTCACTGTTTTCTCTCAAAAGATCTGTTTAAAGTGGAAAGGTTTACTCAATATTTTGCTTCCTCTATGTGGAAGAGACACATCTCTGATGTGTCTAGTAAATCTTTTTTGGCTTTTCCAAGACTTTTTAATCTTTTCATTATTTTCTCATTTCATTTGTATTAAAATTCTAAGTCATTATTAAAAAAGTCAAAAACTCATGAAGTAAGAAAATCTTGCCTTTTACAGGTTGATTTTTACTGGAATAATTTTAGAAGACATTTTTCAATACATTTTTAAGATGTTTACTACATAGGTTTTTTAAAAATCATTTTTCTAGTATAAAGAATTAGCACAGTTTACTATCTATTTGATCTCTTGCTAAATCAGTAACTGTGATAGGCAGAATTAAGAAGACACCGTGATCCCTGCTCCCTTTTCATGCACTGTACAACGCCCTCTTCTGGAGAGTGCGTGGGACTTGTGAGTGTGATGCTGTCTCTCCTTTGATTAGTTAACATTACGTGGAAAAGGTGATGAGACAATCATTCTGGTAATTATATTACTCTGTATAAAACTCCCTTGCAGCAGATGAGAGAGAGATTCTCTTCTTGGCCTCAAAGAAGTAAATTGTTATGTTATAGAGACGACCATGAGTCGAGGAGGAGCTGGTGGCCTCTCACAACTGAGAGCCTCAATCCTACAGTGGCAAGTCACTGAATTTCACCAGGGCTCAGTAAGTTTGGAAGTGAACCCATTGTCTCAGCTGCGACATTGCAGCCCCAGCTGACACCTTGAGTTAAGCCTACGGACACTTAAAGGAGCTGCTAAATTTGATGTAATTTCTTATACAGCAATAAAAAACTAATATATTGTTTAACAAAAAGCTAGAACTGCAGCTTATTTTGTGTGTGTAGGATAGGAGAGAGAGGGAAGATCAAAAGCAAATTCACAAAGACATCAAGAGCCTACCTAGAATGTAGAACATTGGAAAAAAGCATTGCTCCCACACTTACAATGAAAATACAATCTGGCCAGGTGCAGTGGCTCATGCTTATAAACCCACTAGCCATCCTGAAGGTAGACCCTACTGAATCAGTATTTTTTTTAAAAAACTAAGCAATCCATATGTGACTTTTATTCCCAAAAATATTTGCATCACTGTCTTTTTTTTTTTCCCCCTCTCTGAGACAGGTCTCACTCTGTCATCCAGGCTGGAATGCCATGGCGTGATAACAGCTCACTGCAGCCTCAACCTCCCAGGCTCAGGTGATCCTCCCATCTCAGCCTCCTGAGTAGTTGGAACTACAGGTGCATGCCACTACACGTGGCAAAATTTTTGCAGAGAAGGAGTTTCTCCTTGTTGCCCAGGCTTGTCTCAAACTCCTGGGCTCAAGAAATTATCCTGCCTCAGCCTTCCAAAGTTCTGGGAGTACAGGTGAGAGCCCCTGTCACCGGCCTGAAATACCGTCTTATAGAGCAATTTTTGGAAAACTTCAGGTCTAAGATATTATAACATCTCACAGCAATCCATTATGGAGCTTCAGAAATTTAACAAATGAATCATTTCCTTCATTAATTTCTATTTATTAATTGATTTTCTCTGTTTCTCACAGATTGTGCTCTGTTAAAGTCTCAGGAGCTTTTTTTCCCTTAAGCACATGAAAATATCAGCAACTTCACAATATAATCATTTGAAGAAAATATTATGCATTTTACTTATTTCTTCACTGATTCTATAAGTTCCATTAATTATTTCTGGTAAATCTTTCCTTTTACAGCCAATATAGATAATTTACCAGGTATACTAGAGCTTTTGAGCAATAGTTGCATTCAGATCTTTCTTTTTTTGCTCACAGAAGGATGGCACTTTTTGGTTCCTGGAAGTCAGGTGGTTATTTGACTGTATCTGGCCGATCATCTGTGATAGGAAGTGACATGTGTTACTTCTCATCCATGACATTTGATTGTCAGCAAGAAACACATCAGAATTCTCTTTTCCTGCTATTCTACTGCAATAACAGAAGGGTGTGTTGAGATGGAGGTGCTATAGGACAGAACACCTTGAATCACTGAGTCGTAATAGAGGAGAGTTTCTCAGATCCATGGTAGAATTTGTGTGAGCAAGTGTATTTGCTGTGTTTTTCCACTGAGATTTTGAAGTCTATTACTGCAAAATTACCAAGTCTATCTTAGCTAAACTACTTAGTCACCATTGTAGACTTATAATAAAATTTCAAATGATTAGACCACAATTTTCATGTGTCCTCTCAATTTTTCTTTCCAGCTAAAGGAATAGCTAACTGATTTTCCTTTGCTAACACACAGAGTAACTGCAGAAACTGCACCACTGAACATTCCGCACACATATTTCTGTGGCTGCCAGCATCATTTCACCTGTTCCCAGGGCTTTGAGAATCTGTGCTGTTGTCCTCTGTGTCAAGCTGCCCCTCCCTCAAAGTAAGCAATCCAGAAAACAATGACTGCAAGAAGTGGTGAAACCTTATGTCATAGACAGGAATTACTAGGATTTCCCACAGTGTGGCTTCTGCTACCAATACACTTCTTAAAACATGTAAAGTTGTGATAATTTCATCTTGCCTCCCTCTAACCTGAGATGCAAGGAGTTTTTCTGTGCTGGATTAGACTCACAGTGAGAATTTGTTTCTGTTCTCATTCTTACTCATGTCCTCCTTAAATGTATTTCTGCCTCTTTGCCATGACTGTTTTATGCTAAGTGTACAACCAGACTATATTTTCACACTTATTATCAAAATTCTCATCCTCTGTTATATAAAGTACAGTAGGAGAGGAAAGTGAAAGAAGTACCTGTTTGATTATTTTTATAAGATATAATCACCATTTTTGAAAATATCTATTAGGGGATACATGCAATTTATGTAAGAAATAAACTATAGCTATGTCAACTTCCAGGCTTTTCAAATTTGGACAAGTCACTTCAGTTTCCTGGCACTAAAAAAGAAACTAGACTAATATGGTGTCTAAAGATACTGCCAATACTTAACCTCTAGTATTTCTATGACCTATTACAAATTATATTTTGCATTTCTTGTGCCATTTTTCCAATACATCAAGACAATTTTTCCTGTGTTCATAGTGTGAAAAACCCACCCGATTCAGTTCAATTTACAATTTTGAGCCCTTTTTTATTATTTTATCTTCAATAAAATTGATTTTCAAGTCATATTGGATATTATGTATGAACAGTCCAGTGGGAAACTCTGTGAACTTTCCTGGGACTTGTCATCTGATGGTCTTCACTGTGGTTTTATTGGGGATTGTGCCATAATCTGTGGCAGATCATACAATGCCTTCCTTTTCAGGAATTTCTGCTTCTTCAGGGAAAAATAATCCTTCAGTATCGTGCTTTGAAAAGGAACAATAGGGATTGGAAAACTAATATGCCTGTATTGCAGCATTTTGAGGGCAGAGTAGAAAATAGGACATGATTGTGAATCATTTTCATCTTTCACCAACTCCTTGATGTTAGGCCCCCACACTTACCTGTACTCTTTGTTGTAAATGGAGACCACAATGCTAATCTGTGGATTCAGTCTTCCAGAGAAGGAACTTCTGGATTACTGCTAAGAGTGGAGGTGGAGGCAAGAATATCCCTTAATTGTGAGAAACCAGAGATGAGGCTCCTGTCGCTCTATATAAAGACATGTAAATAATGTCTCCATTTTCAGTTCTGTATCTGACCTTAGTATTCTAGGGTGTCTTGTGTCTCCAACTGCTCCTCTTTTTGTGGGCAAAATGGCTTGCTTAGACTCAGCATCTAGCTCTACAGGAATTACTGTTTCCTAGTTTCACAAAGCTAGTCATCTCTTTTCTGCTTTTAAATGTTACCAAAATCTCCTTTGTTATTTTGCCTCCTCACTTGTTCTCGCAGTTTGTATAGATAAATACACTATCTGTTACTTTATATTTTTGCAGTTTTTGCAGAGAGAAAAATAAAGGTTGTGACCAATTTAATGTGGTTTACTAGGAAGCCCATCTAATTTTATTTCTTATTTTAATGAATTGTCTTGCATTCATTAAAACTAGACACATTATATGTTCAGTAAGCATTGTAAGAATTAAAATTTGAATATGTGAATTAATGATTGGATAATAAAGAAAAGTATAAAGTTAAGATGGGAGAGACTATAATGTATAACACATGAACACAAACCTTAACTATGTATGTGTTACATATGCAAAATTTCACACTGACACTTTTGGATTATTTTTCACCTTGGGGCTGATTCAAAACAGTCATATAATACCTAAACTGGACGTCAAATGAAGGAATTCCACTGATGTACACCCACCAGAAATGACGGCAAAACATGTGCAACAATGTTCATAGAACTGGGTGCAATAGCTCCAAGCAGAAAACTAAGAAAATATTCATCTACTGTGATCATAATAAACAGAACATATACAGTCACACAATAGAATACCACATACCACACACAATGATATCAATAAAAATAACAAGCATCACATTGAGTAACAAAGCCAGACACAAAAAAGATAATTTCATGTATGTATAATCTAAAACAGGTAAAACTAGTCAAGAGTCAAGATAGGGTTACTTTTGTGAAGAGAGTGACTATCATTGGAAGGCACAATAGTTACTGTCATGGGTCAACATGACTGGAGAACTGAATGTCCAGATATTGAATAAACATTGTTTCTGAGTGTGCCTATGAAGGTATTTCTGGAAGAAATATTTTCATTGGAAGAGATTAGCATTTGAACTGCTGTACTGAGTAAAGCAGATGGCCTTTTCCACTGTGGGTGGATGGGCAACATCAAATACATTGAGGACTTGAATACAACCAAAAGAGTTGAAGGAAAGTTGGATTTGCTGGCTCTCTTCCTGACTGCTTGAGTTGAAACATATCTTTTCATACTCTTGGTACTCCTAGTTTTCAGGCAGTCAGACTCAGACTGGAATCTACACCCAGGCCTTCTGGCTCTCGGCCTTTGAACTACATCCCCAGCTTTCCTGGGTCTCCAGCTTGTAGGCAGCAGGTCATGGGTCTTCTCCATCTCCGTAATTATGTGAGGCAATATCATACAAAATTCTGTTTACATATAAATCTTACTTGAATTGTTTCCCTGTAGAATCCTGACTAATATAGAAAGGGGGCACAATAGAGTCCTCTAAGACGCAGGCCCAGTTCAATCTCTTGATCTGGAGGTTGGTTTCATACATGTGTTATGCATTTACTTCCTTTCTGTTATTCCACAATAATTTTTGTTAATATCTAGGCATTCATGTACATCTTTCAAGACCTAACTTTAAAATAAACGAAAAAGCTATATTTTTAAACCATTACACCAGGAAAGCACATCTGAATATTGTAATCTATGTAAATATATGAACTTCAAAGTAAACATGAGTTATGGATGTTTTTGAGTAACATGAAATCAATTACATGAGTTTTTTTTTTTGGTAGTTGTGATGCTTATTTACAAAATCAGGTGATCAATCATTTTAACTTTTATAGCCAAAAATTTTCAATAAGCTGCTAGAACAATATGGAATTATGATATTTAGGGGTATGTATTCATCGTCTTTCCTTAAACAAACGTGTTCTATTCCTATGCGTATTTCCAAGAACCTCCATGCTAATCTCTTCCCTAAAGCACCAGACATGAACGGGAAAAAAAAGAGCAGAAAATCTTTGACTTTTGAATTCAAAAGTCATTGGCCTTGAAGTCCAATATGAAAACCAAACAACGTGAGAGGGAAAATAGAAAAAGACCACAAAGGAGTTCCTGATGAGATTTTCATACTTCAAGCTCCCTTAATAGAGAGGACTATTTTTTTTCCTTCGCCAGGGAGCTTTGTGAAAATTGGAAACCAGTCACCTTTCTTTATTCCTTTCAGGTGAACCATGAAAACCCTAGCCATCAGCCAGTTATTCTAAATTTATCAGTCCCCTGAGAACACTACATCCATCAAACCCAAATTGCACAAACCATATTAACTCAAAACCTCAGCTAGTCTTTAAGCCCACCAAAAATGGAAGATACAAGGATGCAGCTTTAGGTGTCTATATAGTTGATGATGTCATAAAGGTAAGCCCTTCACTAAACCGGTACCAGACAATATCAAGCCAAGATTTCCTAGATCTGGGAAAGCACAGAAAGACAACTTGCATATAACTAAATTTTATACACTCACACACACACACACACACACATATATGTGTATATATATATATAACACAACATCATTAGGCTTATATGTCTTTCAGGGCTATGCAGATATGTAAAGATTATTAAACATGACAGGATTTTTGTGTGCACTCAATTTACAATTTTATATAAATTATGAAAGCAACATAATTTAATACCATTTTAGGCTCTGAAGGAAAAAAAAAGCAGGGGTATTTAATTGCTTATTGAAAGTCAAGAACTATATCTCTAGATACTAATTAATTGATACATCATGAACACACTAAATACATGCTTATTGAATACATGAATAAAGGAACAAATGAATGAAGAAGAATGAATAACCAGCTTTCTATCATATTTAGCACAAAACCACATATAATTATTAGGCACTTGAGACATGCATTCAATGCTAGGAGATTTGAAGATTCTGAAGAGGTATACTATGAGGAATTTACCCTTGCAATGTGTTATTACATTACCAAGGCATTTCAAAGCAAATTTAATTTTGATTACAGTACTCACCCAGAAAATAAGGGATAAATGGTAAAAGCTAATGAGTTCAGAGTTTCCATTCAGAATTTTAATAAGTATAAAGAAACTTCTGGGATTGAGGGATTACATTAAATGTTTCATGAAGGAAAAGTCTGTTTTGGAGTTTTAGTGCCTTAAAATTCTTTCACTGGGACTTTCAAGTAAAAATTATGCTGAGAAATCCACTTGTAACAATGCCACTTGCAATAGTTTCTTTTGCATTATGTCTTCAAAGGTCCTAAGCTAATAAAAACAATTGCACTATTTTGCCCTTCTTTAGTTTTTAAACCAATACATCACAGAAGACTCTGTGGAACCAGAGGTAACATTTTTAGTTTACTATACAGGGTAAAATTTTTGGTGAAAATACAGACCTCATTATGAAGCTTCAAGATCTTGCAATAATATACTTACAAGAATGTCTTGTAGAAATAATCAAATTGTGAGGTTTTTAAGTAGAGAGCAGTTAATATTTTTCTAGATGCCACAGGTTCATTTTCATTTTTTTCCAGAGTTGTTAGTGCTAAATTTACACATATTCCAAAGACATTTCCTGCTTATTTCAATGGTTTTTTTTTTTCTTTTACAGGTGTCCTCTTTCCTCCCCAATCAACTTCTTGCACTTTTAACTCTTCCTGGGTCAGCTTCACCTGCCTCCTGCAAGACCCAGTTAAATCAGGAAGAAAGATTCCAGGCTTCATATGTATACTCTCCTTTTACTTCCTTATGAAGTTGAACAGATAGGACATGCCACAGACAATAGAAAGTGAATAGAATTGGGCTTGAAGTAAAAGAAATGGGATTGGGTATTTGGGGAGAGGAGGGACAAGGAGACTTTCTAACCATGTGCAGATATGATCATCTTAAACAGCCCAATAAGAAGTTCCAGAGCACAGATTGCCCAACAGAAGAGTCCGGCATTGGGCAGAAGTGGGTCGTCCTTACGACCCCCACTGCACTAGCTTATTGGTGAGGGCTTTTCCTGGAAGAGTGAAGCTCAGCTCAAAAGAGCATGGACATAGAGAATGGAATGATAGAGATTAGAGGTTGGAAAGGGTGGGAGGGTAGGAGAGGGGTGAGGGGTGAGAAATTACTTAATGGGTACAATGTATATTATTCATGTGCTAGATACACTAAAAGCCTACACTACACCACTATGCAATATATTCATGTAACAAAACCACACATGTACTTCTTACATTTTCTTTAATGCTGAAGTAGATCCTGCGGTAACTAACACATAGAGTCTAGCTTAACTCTTTGCAGTTGAAGAGCAGGTTATATTTTGAAAGGAGATACGAGTGACAATCCCATGGTGGCCACGTCTCTGGGCTTACAGATGCCTAAGACTTTGATCCTTGGTTAAAATCCTTTCAAAATCAACAAACACAAGAAATATATAGAAGTATACCAGATCTAAACTAAAAGTTTTTTTTTACATTGCTATGTATGCTCCACTATTCCAAATAAGCGTCCAAGTACACTATAGTTGGGTTTTCAAAATTGCTTATTTTATAATCTCTAACGGACTAGCAACAACCAAAAAGGTATGAAAGCTGAAAGGACCTCATGAATAAAGGGCTTCTTGAGTTCAGTTGGATCTTGCCTAAGTCAGTCTTATGTCCCATGATCAAACACATCTTTGAGCAATATAGGCTTGGGATATACAGTGTCACTTGAAAGTCACAAGATTGCCATCGTGATGCTGTGCGTTTTAACCAGTATTTTCTTAAAGCTAAATAGGCCACTGCTTCCAAACAGGATGGGGTAACTGAGCCAGGTTTACTCTCCAACATGAAACAAAACTTGGAGAAAATCCAACAGGACACCAGGGAAACATTTGTGAAAAATTCATATAATGGCATACTATTTGGAAACAGGAAGGAATGGAATACCGATACACTTGAAAACATGGTTGAATCTAGAAACAGTTATGCTGAGTAAAAGAAGCTAGACACAAAATAGTACCTACTGTATAATTGCATGCATACAATGTTTTGAAACAAGCAAACAGATCACCATGGTAGAAATCAGAAGAGTGGTAGTCTCTGCTAGCGAAAAGGATCAAATGTGAAAAGGCAAGAGGGAACTCCTACATCTTGATAGGCGTGTGGATTACCCAGGTGTCCGCATTGTCAAAAGTAAAACTATATATTTAAAATCATTTATTCATTTTAATGGATAAAAATTATACCTCAATTTTTTAAAGTTTCTCTAAAACGATCTGTCGAATGGCCCTTGAATAGCATTTAAACATTTTATTTTTTCTAATAGCCATTTTTGTGTAATAGCTAAAATGTTGAATTATTAGGATTATCTGCAATTTTAACTTTAATATACCATAATAGCCCTGACTCAAAATTATCTCTGTGTGAATAGCTTATATATTTTATTTCAAATTAATATTTATAATATATAGTCAAATGTACTCCACTATCAAGAGTAAACATAATTCAAATAAGAGAGTTGATATACATGCAAAATTATTTATTCTTGAGTCTTTTATTTGAGATAAATTTTATTTATTGAGATAAAATCTCTGTAATGTTTGTAAATATTTCATTATTTGCTCCTTATAACTTTCTTCTTCATAGTGATTAGAAGTAAAAACACTTAAAAATAATTCCAAAAAATGAAATAAATAATATATCCTTGATAAGAACAGAGACATGCCCATAAAAACAGAGAAGCTCCTCAGAACTTACTAATGAGAAGAATGTACAGAAAGACACTAACATTGGAAGGTTGGGAAGAACATGTAGCATCCATGAGCACAGTGAAGATCTGTCTTGTGGACTGATGATAGAGCTTCCAGAAAAACTGATAGCCCTTCTAGGTAAACCTAAAGTTATGTTTCTCTTTGTGCTAAATCAAAGAAAGCTGCCCAGTTGACTGATGGAACTTTCTGAAATTCCATACGAGGTATGAGATATCTGAAATGAGATAAATCCTCCATTTGCCCAGTGGACATTAGAACTTGGTTAAAGAAGTTACGGTTATTCTGCACAATAGGCAGAAGTGAAGACATTGTATTGGATAGGGCAAAATAATTGAACTTTTGCCCAGTTTTGTCTTAGTCCGGAATATGTAATTCTACTTTGTGTAGCACTTACCTTGTGAGCAATGTTGCAGCTGAGAAAACCATTAGGGGTTGTGCAATAATGGATTATGGAACATTTCTGCCACCCACAAAGACTGGATACCACCAGAGGAAAGCATATCTCACTGCCAGAGTGCAAAAATGTACTAAGAAGCACAACATCCATGGGAATTACCTGTTCTTCCAGTGGTATAGTAGCAGGTTGATTGGAAGTGGAATTAAGTGGCTGTAAGTAAAAATGGTTAGGCAGAAACTGGAAGCTGTCAAAATGTTCTTCAATAGATGAAAGGGTAAACAAATTGTGTTACAACCAGAGAGTGTTGTATTATTTGGTGATAAAAAGAAATGACTTATCAAACTATGAACAGGCATGGAGAAACATGAAATGTATACTGCTTAATGATAGAAGCCAGTCTGTAAAAGCTACATACAGTATGATTTCAACATATGACATTCTGAAAAAGACAAGACTATGGAGACAGTGAAAAGGTCAGTGGTTGCCTGAAGTGGAAGGGAAGAGATGAATTGATGAAGCACAGGGTATTTTTGGAGCAGTGAAGCTATTCTTATTCTATATGATGACACTGTAATACTGGATACATGACATTATGCATTTGTCAAAATCATAGAACCGTAGAACATAAAGAGTAAGCCCTAATGTAAACTATGAACTTTGGTTAATATGAATGTATCAATACTGGCTCAGCAATTTTAACAAATGCACCATACTAATGCAAGGTATTAATACTAAGGGAAAAGGGCTGGGGGTGCGGATATGTGAGAACGCTCTGTACTACCTGCTCAATTTTCTGTAACCCTAAAACTTCTCTAAAAATCATTAACTAATTTATAAAAAATTTCTATAACATTCTTAGAATTGAGATCCTTAACAGGCAAAATCAGCAGTTAAAGTAACGTCTGTTATTGATGTAAAAATACAGGTCAGTAACCTTTTCTCCTACATCCAGAGGCACAAATGATGGGCTCACATGTAACCTGTATATCTATATACAATATCATTATGAAACTCTGTGGCAAATGGTGGCTAATATGAATCAAACATGGATGGGCATAACAACATCGCAAGGTGATGGATTTCTGTGCTGTTGAATTGGAAAATATTATATTGCAAAAATTCTGGGATCTGGAGGCAAGGATAATAGAATGGGGATGATACGGTTACAAAATCCTTTATCTTTCCTACCTCTATTTTTCATTTTGTTTTGCTGAATGCAGAGGTAGTAGGACTGGACAAACAAGGAAGATCTTTTAAAGGTATTACTTTCACCTGCCTTTAGAGTCAACCTGTGCAAAAGAATGTGTGTGTGTGTTGGGGGGGTGGGGGACGGTGGGAGGTGCTCTAAGAGCTAAAGTAATTTCAGGAGACTTATAAGGTTATACAATTACAGCTAACATGGTTTTTTAACAAGGGAAGTTCAAAGCCTTATTGGATGTTTCTGTTGTTGGTCATCATTACTGTTTTAACATACCTGTTTTCATGCATCATAAAGAAATAATAAATATGCAACCAGTCATCTGGTTGAATGGATGGAAAGAAAATATTAAGAATAGCATTGCAATTCTCTTTTTAGTCTTGGTTATACCTGAGAATTTGATCTTTGACTGGCAACCAGTTACATCATTGATTTAAGAAATACAAACACGTTGCCTGTGTGCCATGGCTCAGACCTGTGATCCCAGCACTTTGGGAGGCCGAGGCGGACAGATCACTTGAAGTTGGGAGTTTGAGACCAGCCTGGCCAACATGGCAAAACCCCATCTCTACTAAAAGTACAATAATTAGGTGAGTGTCTGTAATCCCAGCTACTAGGGAAGCTGAGGCAGGAGAATGTCTTGAACCTGGGAGGCAGAGGTTGCAGCGAGCTGAGATTGTGCCACTGCACTCCAGCCTGGGTGACAGAAAAAGACTCTGTCTCAAAAAAAAAAAAAAAAAAAAAAAAAAAAAAAAAAAAAAGCAAACATTTTGAACTGAGGTTCATGGCCTCAGTTCAAATCATGGCCTCATGGTGGATGCTATATTCTGTGAATTATTCCAACAATGAATCCAAGCACACAGTATCTGGTATGGCATTGTTTATTATGTAATACATAATTAATGAAAAGCCACTGAACCTCCAAAAAGAGAGTCATACAACCCTTAGGGAACTATATGACTAGAAAGGTTAAAAAGCTTACGAAAAAGTTGAGCTGTTGTGTTCATTCAGTTGAGCAAGTCTACGCTTAAGTCAGCCTTATTTCTTAGGAGTTATTTAAAGTTGCATCTGAAAATTATGAGCAGTGGATTACTTTTAAGGGACCCTCCATTATCCTGAGGGTACCCCTCAGACAAGAAAATAAAAAAGAAGAAATCTAGAGGAATCATGTTACCTGACTTCAAATTATACTACAGAGCTATTATAACCAAAACAGCATGGTGCTGGCATAAAAACAGACCAATGGAACAGAAGAGACACCCAGAAATAAATTCATGCATCTCTAGTGAACTCATTTTCGACAACCGTGTCAAGAACATACACTGTGGAAAGGACACATTTTTCAATAACTGGTTCTTGGAAAACTGAATAGCCATATGTAGAAGAATAAAACTAGACCCCTATCTCTCATTATATACAAAAATCAATTAAAAATAAATTAAATACTTAAGTCAAACAGCTCTGCATAGCAAAGAAAACAATCAACAAAGTGAAGAGACAACCCAGAGAATGGGAAAACGATTTGCAAACTATCCAACTGACAAGAAATTAATAAGCAGAGTATATAAGGAACTCAAATATCTCAATAGGAAAAAAAATTTACTAATCCAGTTTTAAAATAGGCCAAATATCTGAATAGACATTTCTTAAGACATACCAGTGGCAAATAGGCATATGAAAAGGTGCTCAACATCATTGATCATGAGAGAAATGCAAATCAAAACTACAATGAGATATCACCTCACCCCATTTAAAATGGCTTTTATCCAAAAGATAGGAAATAATGAATGCTGGCAAGGATGTAGAGAAAAGTGAATGCTTAAACACTGTTGGTGGGAATGTAAATTAGTACAGCCACTATGGAGAACAGTATGGAGGTTCCTCAAAAAACTATCAAGAGAACTATCATATGATTCAGCAATCTCACCACTGGGTATGTACCCAAAATAAAAGAAATCAGTGTATTGAAGAGATATCTGCACTCCCATGTTTATTGAAGCTCAGTTCACAGTGGACAAATTTTGGAACTAACCTAAGTGTCCATCAACAGATATATGGATAAAGAAAATGTGCTAAAAATACACAATGGAGTACTATTCAGGCATAAAACAGAATGAGATCCTGTCATTTGCAATGACACTGATGGAGCTGGAGGACATTATGTAAGTGAAATAAGTCAGGCACAGAAAGGCAAAATTTGCATGTTCTCACTCATTTATAGGAGCTAAAAATTAAAACAATTGAACTCATGGAGATAGAAAGCAGAATGATGGTTACTTGAGGCCGGGAAGTGTAGTGGGGAGGAGAAAGTTGTGATGGTTATTAGGTACAAAAAATAATTAGATACAATGAATAAGATCTAGTATTTAATAGCACAAGGTGATTACCACCAACAAAAATTTATTGTACATTTAAAAATAACTAAAAAAGTATAATTGGAATGTTTTTAACACAAAGAAATGATAAATGCTTGAGGTGATGTGAAGGATACCTCATTTACCCTGATGCGATTATGACACATTGTATGGCTGTATCAAAATATCTCATGTCCCCTAGAAATATATACACCCATAATTATATACACCTACTCTCTACCCATATGAATAAAAATAAATAAAATAAAAGTGCTGGTTGTTGGGAGTAAACATACGCTAGGGTAAAGTGATCCAAAGGGATAAGAAGAGAGCACTGATGGCATTGCCTCAAACTTAGTGGATCGACAGCCAGGGTCCTAAATTTTGATACCTTCTAGTCCATAAGACTCCTGGGCAATTCATTGACAAGGTCTATTGATGTTACGTCTTCAATGCCCCTCCATTTTATCCACTTTTCTCTCCTGATGCTAACAGAGAAGTACAGGATAGCATTTCTTAATCAGTCTCCTGCAATATGCTGATGATACTCCACTCATGCCTTTTATCTTTCCTCAATCAATTTCTTAAACTTCAGTCAGAAAAATAGAATTTTAAATTGAAAATTCTATTATATCATATCCTGGCTCTCATACCCTACCTTTTTCTCTGTTCTCTCTTTGAAATCTTTCAGTGGCTTTCTTTGCTCCTAGGGAGGGGCCATCTTGCTGGCCAAGCCTAAGGACACAGCTGTCCTGCATTCTTCTTGGTCTCACTGCCTTTTTTCATCTGCTTTTGAGGATGATGTCAGCTTCTAATATCACATTGTACTAGTACTAGTCTGCTAGGGCTGTCATAACCAAATACCACAGACTGGGTGGCTTAAACAACAGAAATGTATTTTCTCGCATTTCAGAAGCTTGAAATCTAAGATCAAGGTAGCAACAGGTTTGGTTTCTCCTGAGGAATCTTTCATTGACTTGAAAACTCCACTCTTTCTCTGCATTCTCATATTTCTTTTTCTCTGTGTACCCATGTCCTCCTCTTCCTATAAGGACAACAGTCACATTGGATTAAAGCTTCAACTTTATGGCCTCGTTTAAACTTAATGAGGTAAATGAGGCTATATCTCCAAATATAATCATATTGGGGCTTAGGACTTCAACCTGTGAATTGTGGGGTGACACAATACACTCCATAATAGGTAACTACCGATATCTTAATTTATTAGTATAGTGGTCTAACAATTCTGTCAAATCTCTATACAGGTAATGGAAAAGAGCTTTACAAAATACTGTCCTAAGTCACCAAAACCCTCAGGCCTAGTACAGTCGTTTGTGACTCTGAGACAACCTACGCAGCACTCTTTAAATTGCACCAAAGAAAACTTAAGTGGTGTTCGAATTTTTATTTACTACTGTCATCATCATCATTATCTCTCACTCTCATAAAACAAATGATATTTTTGTTTGACCTAATAGCTAATCTACCTCTTTTAATAGCCTTTGCCTCATTTTCAGGAAAAAAAAGTCCCAGTTGACTTCAGTAAATTCTATCATTTATTATAAATACAGTGGCATTCTGTAATTCTTTTTTTTTTTTTTTTTTTTCGAGACAGAGTCTTGCTCTGTCACCCAGGCTGGAATGCAGGGGCGCGATCTTGGCTCACTGCAACCTCCACCCACCCAGGTTCGAGCAATTCTGCCTCAGCCTCCCTAGTAGCTGTGATTACGTGTGTGTGCTACCATGCCCAGCTAATTTTTGTTGTTGTTGTTTTTGTTTTGATTTTTAGTAGAGATAGTGTTTCACCATGTTGGCCAGGCTAGCCTCAAATTCCTGACCTCAAGTGATCCACCTGGCTTGGCCTTCCAAAGTGCTGGGATTACAGATGTAAGCCACCACTCCCAGCTTGAAATTATTTAAAATTCATGGAATTTGGGTGTTACCTGCCTTTAGAGTCCAGTACTAGCTCTTTATATTTAAAATTCCCTTATTGGGGGGATTTTCTTTATTATTATTATATTATAATTATTATATAATGTTATTTTCTTTATTATTTATTTGGACTTGAAAAATTCTGGGGAGAAAAAAATGGCTAGTCTCAATTTTTTTCTACATTATCTAATAATGTAGTGCAGGACAAATTTTATCTTTATTTTACTATTATTTCATTTCCTATTTTCTCTTTCTAGTCAGATTTTAAACTTTTTGCAAGAAAAGTCCATATCTTTTTCAGTGTTTCCCAATAGCACTTAGCAAAATTGTATAAAATGTTAGTGGAATAATTAGTAGAAATGTTGATACAGAATAAGAGAAGACCTTGGTTGTTTTAAATTTAATATTCCAGCTATACTAATTATGAATACAGATCAGTTGTATGCTATTATTGAAGCTCTCTTTTATAATGTTTCAAAGCAATGTTTTATTAGTTGATTTGATAGGAAAAAAAGGCACAGACATAGGTCTCTTGTGTTTGTAAAGCAATTTCAAATTTTTCTCGTTCTCTTGATTCTGTGGTGTAGCTTAAGCAAGGATTGCTATTTCCAATTTTACAGAAATTGTAACTGAGGCTCTTGGGGAGGTAAACAGACTTCCCAGTATTGGATGAGAAACAAGGAGTAAAGCTCCTCCTCAAATGTGAATTTTTCTGGCTCTAAATCTCTTACCCTTGTCATCAGAATCTGAAACTTTGTTTTGTACAGAAGAGAAACAAAGCTCTCTTTAAACCTAGAGAAAAGGGAGAGATAGTATTTTTGATAAAACATGAGATTTAGAAATGTAGTACTGCAAACACATTCAACATTGGTATAAACTATATGTAAATAAGGTTCTTTTTGGAAATCTGGATGTCTGAGCCCTGTTGTCCTCTTGTGCCAAGGATTCATTTATTTAACCTTTGAAACACTTTAGTTTGTAGTATGTCAAGAACCCTTGTAATTATTCCGGCTACAGCTGTGAACAGAAAAAAAATTCTCCATTGTAAGCAAGTAGACATTATACTAGGTTTGACATAAATTATAATTGTAGGTAGTGATAAGAAGAAAAGAAAATAGAGTGAGAAAAAAAGGTAGAATGGAAGGGGTATACCTATGGAAGTTCTGGTTTGTTATTTGATTAACTACTTTAATCCAATAATTTCACTCAGCTCAATGGATTTCTTATTCTATTCACCCACACAAAATTCACAAAAGCAGTCCCTATTTTGGCACGGAACATTGAAGATCTCTCTTAAAATGGAAGCAAGCTCTCTAAAAGAGGTAATTTAGGAACTCTACTTAGTTTATTAAATTCTATAGCCAGTCATCTAGCAAAGCTCATTTAGAATAGTACAGAAAAGCCATAATTTTGGATTAGAAGAATGTTCAAAAAATAATAGAGAAAAGTAAATGAATTACTGGGCCTTAGCTAATAGTGCCATACAAATGGAATTCAAGAATGAACACTGTCTTTCATCTTAGAAAAATATCTCTGGACCTGCAAAGGTGAGTAGATTCATAAAAATCCATCCTACATGACTACATAGCTCTGACATCCTTGCATGTTCTTTTAAAGTCTCTAATTGTGACGCAGTTTGTATACAACGACATGTCAACGGATGTTTGTGTCTAAGCCTACCTTGTCACTGTCTGCAATGTTCTACAATTTGGAAAGTAAGAAGTCTTGGCCGGGTGTGGTGGCTCACGCCTGTAATCCCAGCACTTTGGGAGGCTGAGGGGGGCAGATCACAAGGTCAGGAGATCGAGACCATCCTGGCTAACACGGTGAAACCCTGTCTCTACCAAAAATATAAAAAATTAGCCGGGCGTGGTGGTGGGGGCCTGTAGTCCCAGCTACTGGAGAGACTGAGGCAGGAGAATGGCGTGAACCCAGGAGGTGGAGGTTGCAGTGAGCCGAGATCGCGCCACTGCACTCCAGCCTGGGCGACAGAGCCAGACTCCATCAAAAAAAAAAAGAAGACTCAATAATTTATCATTTAGGCCACTGATATTTTATTATTAATGAATTGTTCCTCTAAAGCTGTGTATAGCACATAATGAGGTATGTATACTAAGAGAAAAGTAACTTCTATGTAGATATCATTGTAAATCAGAATTATTTGTATTTCAGTAAGAGGTTTCCAGTTTGAGGAAAATGTAGAGTCCTAAAAAAAAACAGCGCATAAAATATTTGGTGAAACTGTTCTTTACTGTGTAATCTAACTCAAAGGAAACAAGGCATTGAGTAGACTCAAGGTATTCGTTTGCCACTTTTATTAGGACAAAGCAATTAAGAACATTTTAATAAAAGGATTATACTTATCTAATTATGAATATTTTAAGGAAATTAAAGTACAAAAATGGAGTCTGTATATGGCCAATAATCATCCTTTTAAATTATTATCACAGATTTTTAGAAGATTCAGCAAGTAACTTTTTAAAAGGATAACTCTCACCTCTAATATAGTAAGGAAAAATAAAAAGAACAATTATTAATAATACAAATTGACAGCTCTAATGAATAAATAATTTAATAAATTTAAATGAATGTATTGTAACAAACAAATTTTATAAAATCAAAAGGCTCTAGCAATGTACTAGTTTGCATATTTTAGAAATGGAAGATCATCTGAAATTGTCTGAAAAGTTTACAGTCAATTGTATGGATTTCTGCATCATGGTATGTAGAAATAGGAAGTTTAAGCAAAGTAGTTTTTATGGTACAAATGTGCTTAAAAGGCAAAGAGCTTTTCAGAAATTATATATATATGTGTGTATGTTTGTGTATGTGTGTGTGTGTTTCATTAAACCTAAAAAAAAATACATTTGTTTTTCCGAGCAAGGTAGAAATTATGTAAATAAATCTGAAATTTAAAACCTGAAACTCAGAAAAGAATTACTCTGATAGCCTATAGTATAATTGAATAAGAGATCAGAAATGAAGGCATACCTAATTACAGAGGTTTGTCTTTTATTTCCTAGTAATAAAAAAAGTCAAATAAATGTCTTCTCTGTATTGTGTAAGTTTCTTATTTTCATTTCAAAGAAAATAAATCACTTTGGTGGGTAGCAACACAGCTCAAATAAACACTGAATGTAATTTAGATGAAATAGATTTTAGGAATTTAGAGATTTTGCATTCTCTCAGTTTTGTAAGTGGAAGAATCACAGTAAAATATACTTGGCTCTAGTCTTAAGATATTTTGTTATAGTCACATTTGAAATAAATGTATCTTGTTTTATGGGAATGTTTCCAATGTCTTTGAGTTTTAGAGTTGTAAATGTGTTATTAGGATTTGTGTTGGGGAAATTATTGTAATGGGATTTAAATTTTTAAGATATGGGTTTCAGTATACTCTTATTTTAGAGCAGAATACACTAAAAACTTTACCAGTTGAATTTTTATATATAATTTAATCTAGATTTATGAACACATAGAGAAGGAAGAAGAGTAAACACAAACCAATAAAAACATTCTAAAACAGTTTTGAAACAAAAGCGTGCTCTGAAAGTGTGAGGTTATGCAATGTGTCAAGCTTGAAAACATAATCAGCGATAGAAGAGAAAAATGGAAGAGTTTTTGGAATAAATAATTTACAGAATTAACTGTGGGTCTTTACAGCAAAATAGGTTTATGCTTGATAAAATTGCCAGAAAAAAAAATGTAACTAAGGAAAAGTAGGCTTGAAATAAAACTCTTTAAGAAATTGAGACATAATCATATAGACTGGTGAGAAAATTTCTATTAACATACAGGAAGATAAGTCACAATATAAGAAATATGGAAGCATCACACTTCTGTTAAAGGATTATATATCTATGTATCTGTCTATCATCTATCTATCTACCTATCATATATAATCTCATTCTCAACCTGTCTTAACTTGTAGCTATCGTCTTTATAGTTTAAAACAAAAAAGGCCAACCCATCAGAAATTCCTGCATACTCAGAATGTAGAAAGAAGCTTTATTCAGGTTATTTTGTACTACGAAAACAATAGATGTATTTCCCATTTATAAATATAAAGTCATAATATTATACTGGAAATGTGAATATTAAATATATCTTTTAATATTCTATATCTTCTTTTCATAGCTATTTTTGTTATTAACGTTGCCATATAGTAACGTTTTAGAAGAGCATATGCTTTTTTTTTTGAGACAGAATCTCGCTCTGTCACCTTGGCTGGAGTGCAGTGGCATGATCTTGGCTCACTGCAACCTCCACTTCCTGGGCTCAAGCGATTCTCATGCCTCAGCCTCCTGAGTAGCTGGGATTACAGGTGCCCACGACCATGCCCAGCTAATTTTTGTATTTTTAGTAGAGATGGAGTTTCACCATGTTGGCCAGGCTGGTCTCGAACTTCTGACCCCAGGCAATCCGCCCTCCTCGGCATCCCGAAGTGCTGGGATTACAGGCTTGAGTCACCGGATCTAGCAGCTAATTTCTGTTAAAATGGGCACCATTGCACAATGACGGCCTTATTCACTTTGAGCTATCAATTTCTCATTTGACATAATTAAAGGGCAGAAACATATGTAAAAATTGAAAGGGATGGATAAACAGAAAAAATCACATTGTCTCATCTCCTTGTTTGAATAAATGAAAACACCTTAAAGAGAGCAATAAGTACATTCTAAAACAAATATTTCCTGAGGAACAAAACGTGTGGAAGGAACAGTGTCCTCTGTTCTTCTGATGGGGGTTATCGTGTGGCTTTGGATAAGGAGGAAATGTTGGGTGGCTACAGCTTGTATGAGCTTGAAGATTTAACACCACCTTCTCTAGTTCACCACTCAATTTCCTGAGTCAGCCTTAAAAAAATATTTTTCGAAGAGAATATTCCTAAATTATGATGCCCAAGGTAATCTTCCCAGTTCTCCTCACACTTGAGCTGGCTCTGTAAAGAGATTGCATTGTAAGCCAGGTTGCTTAAGGACACCTTGTGATATTCAGAGTCACAAATAACAGAAACAAGGGATTCAGTGTTTAAGGAATGAAATAATCTACAATATCATTGTATTTAATATCTTCTAAAGCTATATACTTTAAAACTACTTAAGGTATATTTTTATTTTGCTTGCATTTGTAAATACTCATCATGATTATATGGTTTATTAATATTTTACTCTGTAATTGAATTTTAAAATTTAGTGCTAATTTAAATAAAGCACAATAGAGAAACAATGTGCCTACAAAATGTAGGCATGTATGATAGAGAAATCAACAAAGCAGATATTTTAGGAGTATTAAAGTGATTCTACCAACTTCGGCTATGAGATTTAGCAGACACAATGGCTCCCTCCCAGTCTGGCTCTAATTTACTCTATGACCTTGACCTTGACTAACTTACTGGGTTTTCTTATTTCATAGTTTTCTCAATAAATTAAAAAGAAAAGAATAAATGGAAAAAGGATTACTAAGCCTTATCACTATATAACATTATGGAGGGCATTAAGAATTACAGCTAGATCTCATCATGCCTCCTATAAAAAAACCTCCTTGTAAAAAGTTAGTATATTTTTTCTCTACAGCATTTTCTGTTGCTGTTTTGGGACTCTTCTGAGCATAGATCTCCATGATTGGCAATTTGCGTGGTACATGGGTGATTTCTGGAACCACTATACTTCCCATTTGTAAGTCAATATAAGTAAATGTGACCTTCAGGTCTTTAGAGATGAAAAGAGACAGCTTTAAAGTTAATTCACTGTGTCACCTAACCTCTCTCCTCTTCAGGTAAAAAAAGATATTGAGTCTTCTATCTTAGTGAATTAAATGTGTGACAAATAAACGACATTTTGCATAACACATTAAATGGATTTCCAATTGAACTTTAATACTAGTAAATTCTGTTTAATAGTGTATGTTTCAAAAACAAAGAGCCTTCTGATAAAGAATGCATTGGACATACAAAATTAATATACTTACGCACACACAAACTTGAATAGATATGTCTTGTTACTAAGATGGTCTTTGGAATAAAATTCTTATCACATCAAGGAATAATGAGACATAACATTTAATCCTCAACTATTTAAAAGTGCCTCAAAAATGAAACATTAGTGATATCTTTGACAAATTATATATAAGGTAAAAGCTGAAACCAAGTGTAGATCAGTTATTTATTTTTGCTGATCCAGTCTGGTTATTCCTTCTTTTCTAATGTTTGCTAATCAAATTGCTACAGAATATGATCTTTATTAGCTATGTCAGCATTAGCAACTTGGATAAATAGAAAGAAAGGATTTGTCAGGCTCCAAGGACTGTGTAGTGATAAGGCAATAAGCAGATAATGAAATACTCTCAGAAGTATACCGTATGCCAATGTCCACATGTAATAATAGATACAAAAATTTAAAAAATTGTCAGGGTACTTTTTATATAGAATCCTTAACTTGAATTAAGTAATACAGAACAATAACATGAGTTTTAAGTACTTTAAACAGTATACACTAGGGAAAATTTTTAAAGATATACTAATGAAAATTATGATATATTGAGCATGATTGTACCAATATCTTTTAGGTACATAGCTTCGCTCTATTATGAACACAAATCTATGGGTTAATTGTCACTCTTTCTTTTTTACACATGAAGAAACTGAAGTTCAAAAAAAATGTTATTTTCCCAAGATCGTACAATAAGTTGAAAATTAACAAGGATTTAAAAACTTGCTCTAGGGGGTCTCTTTCCACTAGGCCATACTGTCATAAACATATTTTTCTATTTATATGAACTCTTCTCATTACATGTGAAATACATATGGAAAATTATGCGTGTCATTGTTTATCTGAAAAATAATGTGCAACCTTGATTTAAATTCTGTGATGACTCACTGGATATACTATGTTCTAACCTTGGTCATCTTCAGACATGCTACCTATGTGGTGGGCACAGATAGCCTAGCTTCATGAGAAGATACACATCATTGCTTATATGAGTCACAATAGGGACAACTGCCCAAATCCACACACAGTACACACAGTGCACACAGCAATTACTTATAAAATATTTGTCAACCATGTTCCTGCTAACCTCCACCTCCAAAAGATTCATTTCTTAGTTTACATATATTTCTCTCATTGTGGTCTGCTAAAAAATTGCTCATACATATATTCAAATAATTACTCAGAGAATGTAAGAGGTGAATATTTTCAAATAAATAACAATTCATAATTAATCTGAGATAGCAGAGCAGAGTTGAAGTTACTCGTACATAGAGAAGGTCAATCGTGTAGCTTGTCTCATTGAAAAAAAAACAAAGACAGGTTTAAAAGGCTTAAACCATAAATGATCTGTGAAAATGGGTCTTGTTTTGTTTCATTTTGTTTTATTTTTCCCCTGAGTAAACTGACTGGTTGAAAGTTATCAAGGAGGGCAGTTTGCCCTTGGACAGACTGAGTCAGGGAAGACAATTTCAGGGTGTGTTTCCTAAGAAAGCTTTGATTTCAGCTATGAAGTAAACATGATATGCTCCTTTGCTAGGAATGATGGCTGCCATTGTCATTTGATGTCTCTTCCACTTACTTAATCTGGATCAGCACAGTGACTCATTATGATTTGCCAATGTACACAGTTTTGAGTAATGGCTGAAATATCTAACCCCTTTCTAGAGTTTCCTTCCCTCCCATCACCATGGAACCTGATACATAGATTTTTTTTTTCTTTAAGAAGACAGGATTGCCTGAATTTGGATGTCCACATTAATTGCCCAATTTAAGATACATGGCATCTATGAAGAGATTGTAAACCACATTGCTAGCAGACATTTTATTGGCTCCAACTGATTTTTGCTTTATATGCAATACTACTACAACCCACAGGCAAGCCCTGAATAATAGTTTTCTGGTTAATATTTTTCCTGTAGATTACTTCTGTTTTATATACCCAAATATTATAAAACGTGTATATCTCAATACAACACCACCTTTCATCTGTGTTTTAGGTTTGTCCAAAACAATGTAATAATAGAATCTTTAGTTACATTCCAGATACAACTGGTAGAATGTCAGAATAACATGTGATTTTTAAATCATTAGGTGTCAACAAAGGGAACATGTTACTGGCTCCAGGAGAGGCCATGTATCATGTCATATCATGTCCCTGCCTGCAAAGCAATGTTTGCTAATGGCAATACTAACTGATGACCAGGAAGTGATTAAGCATGCTACTTCCTAACATCATGAGGCTTTTCCCTACCATTTTCTTAAGTTCCCAGGTATAACTGCTTCCTGATTCCCAATTAGATGGATATCTTTGGAGCAGAACTATAATCTAAAATTAGAATTTTGTAACACATGTTATCAGTTGAAGAAACAAAGCACTCCTGGGAAAGCTAGGGCCAAACATAGTACCATGGATGGTACCTGCATGACAGTTGGTGTGCTAAGGAATGGTTGATTAATCATCTTTCTGCAGTCCCCAGGGACCTTTTTGCCCTTTGTGATGTGGCAATGCTTTATTTAGTGCTAAGCATATGGAACATTCAAATCATACTAAAGAAAACATGGTGTTAGGCCATTCAATTCACACTGAATAATATATAAAAGTTATATTAAAGGAAAGAGAATAAAAATTTCCATATCTTAACCATGTCATGAAATTTGTTATAAGCTTTGTCTTTTAAAGTAATTCAGTTAGAAAATAGAAGAAGGCTACCAGTTTGTATCCAAATAAGAAAGAAGACATTATTGAATGCCATTACCATCGATCGCGGGATATAAATAAGGGAAGCAAGTCATCCCAAATATAGGGAAATACTGAACAGGTACTACTCACAGGGTTTGACCATGGGTGACTATATTTTATCTCCCTCCCCGCTTTTTTTGAGATGGAGTCTCTCTCTGTCGTCCAGACTAGAGTGCAGTGGTGCCATCTTGGCTCACTGCAACCTCTACCCCCCGGCTTCAAGCGATTCTCATGTCTTACCTCCCGAGTAGCTTGGACTACAGGCAGGTGCCACCACATCTGACCAATTATTGTATTTTCATTGGAGACGAGGTTTCACAATGTTGCCCAGGCTGGTCTCAAACTCCTCAGCTCAAATGACCTGTCTACTTCAGCCTCCCAAAGTGCTGAGATTACAGCCATGAGCCACTGCACCCGGCCTCCCCACTTTTAAGAGGGTGTGGAATGAAGAGGAGGCTTCTCCAGTATTTCTCAGAACTATGAAGTAGTTATAAGAGGAAGCTTGCTGGCAAAGAACTAATAAATGCAGTGTTGTACAAAGTTTAACATATGACTAGAAATCAATTATAAAATCCAACAAAAACTTCTACTGGACAATGTTGTTTAACTAATTAGTACCAGATTGGACAAACTAGAACCTAAGATAATGTTTTTCTTATAGTTTCAAATTGCGACTTCATTGCACACACTGATGCAGTCTGCTTAGTCCCTATTTCAGCTAGGTCCGAGTTCTTGTCCCACAACTAAGAAGAATGAGGCATGTGTACACTGGAGAGTAAGTAGAGTAGGATTTATTAAGCAAAAGGAAAGCTCTCAGCAAATAGAGGGGGCCTGAAAGTAGGTTGCCAGAAATGGGGCTGAGTTCTGCGTCTTTTATGTGGCAGAAACCAGAAAGTCTTTTGTGGATTTTGCCCAAATTAGAGTGGTAAAATTCCCTCCTAGGGAGGCACATTCCTGGGGTTGGCCAGAGTGACTCCCTCTTGGTTATTACCCATGAGTGCCTCAGTGAAACCCACAGGGGTGCTAAAACCACAATGCTAATGTCATGTCAATGACATTATAATAAGCTGGGTCTAGTTAAGGACATTTAGATTGATTTATTGATCCTGGATCTAAGTTGGGAAAGTCCTTTCTGAACAACATCCAGGCAAAAGGGGAAGGCAAGAAGGCAGGAAAGTAGCCTTCTTAACCACATTTCTTCCCATTAACTGCAGAGGTGGTACAGGTGCTCTTCCACAGTTGATCCTGTAAACATTGCCCTTCTCTTTCCCTCTCCCAAAACCCTCCCTCTCTATGTGCCTAACCAGCCCCTAACTTCCTCCTCTCTCAGAACCAAAAGTTATAGAACCTCTAAAACCTTAATCTATACTCACCTCATTAGTTGGAATGATTCAGTTTCTAGTCAGTAAAATTTTCAAAAGGTTTAATATGATATGGTAGACTTTGTTGAAAAGGTAGAGGTTGTTGAAAAGCATTTGCCAACTGTTGGGGCTCAGAGAATGACACCCTAAAGAGAAGACCTCAGAAGTAGCCTAAGAAGAAAAGTCTCTTTCTGACTTTCTTCTGTGTTCCTGTCTCCCTCCTGTCCTTCTCCCAGAGCAAGCCATAGTAACTACAAACTCTTTTCCCTAAGGCAGATCATAGACACTGGAACCCTTTTCCCCAAAGCAAGTGAAAAAATCTAAAAATATTGCTCAAACTTTTCCTCATCTTTCTGTGTAAAAACTGGCCATAAAGAAATTATCTGGCATACGTTGTTTGATGGTAGGTCGTAAGACCCCGTTCCAGAAAAGATACTGCCCCATACTCAGGAGGAAAAAGTGTTATAGCCGAAAGGCAAAAAAGAATCTGAATAGACAGTCCTTGCTGGGTTTCTCCACTCCAAATTAGATCACCCTTTTTGTCCGGTCTTCTTTCTATATGGCTGTTCATTATTTATCAAACCTAAGCATAAAAATTGTTACTTTTCCCTGTCCTTTGGTATCCATTCTGAAGGCTCCCATGTCACATAAAACTATAGTTAAATCAATTTGTTATAAATTTATCTTGTTAATCTTTCTTTTATTATAGGAGTGTGCCCATCCATGACTCTTATGATGGAAAAGAAAGGGATCACCTCTTTCCATCCTGGATGGAAAGGGAAGGAATCCACCCTCATACAATTCTAAATTCTATCAGTTTTAAAAAATTTAAGTCAGTGACTTGATAGACTCATTTAAATTGTATTTTAGAGTGAGCAAAAAAAAAAAGATAAAATAAAACAAAAAAATGGTTTTTTAAAATTTGCATTTTTGTACCCAAAGCAATTCATGTGATGTACCTTATAGGGGACAGTCATGTGAAAAAGTTGGATTTTTACATCTAGGTAGAGTATTTAAATTATATATATGCAGTTGGTCAGCTGAGAAGTTCTTCCAAATTGAGAAATTCAGCTCAATTGTGTTACTTTCTAAATTCAATGAGTCAAAGCAAAGACTGGAAATTGGATACCTGAGATCTTTTATTTTTGTGAGGAACTGTTGTCATTGACATAGAGAAAGATGAAGTAGCTAATTACCCTTTAAAAGGATTTTCAATCCACGCCTGGTGAAAAATGCTTACAGTATTCTGATTTATAATGTTTTCATAGTCTTTGAAAAATGACGTAGAAAGTTTAACTGTAATATTGGGTTCTAGTTTATCTGACACTGATACCAAGTTTGTGGTTTTCTTTATGACATTTCATCATACATTGGATGATAGCTTTTTATCAACAATCTTAAGTGAACTCACATCATTTTCTTATTTCTGTTAGAAACTCCATCATAGTTAAATAAAATAAAAACACTTCTGTTCTTCCAAGTGTTTTGTTTTGTCTTTTATATTTAAAAAAAGCAGACACATTATGCTTGCTTTGCTTTGTTTTGTTTTTATAACCTGCCTGTACTTGCTAAAATGCAAAGACTGCTATAAGCAAATGACACTGTATAAGGTTGTTTGGGTATCTTAGTCCATTTGTGTTGCTATAAAAGACTACCATAAATTGGGTGGCTTATAATCAACAGAAATTTATTTCTCACAATTCTGGAGTCTGAGAAGTCTAAGATCAAGGTGCCTGCTGGTTTGGTGTCTGGTAAGGGCACACTTTCTTATAAATGGCACTTTCTTCCTTGTTTCCTCTCATACTGAAAGGGGCTAGCTAGCTCTCCCCCTTTTAATAAAAGAGATAATTTTATAATTGTCTCTTTATAAAAGCATTTATCAAAATCATGATCTAATCATCTCCCAAAGGCCTCCCTTCCTAATACCATCACTTTGGGGGCTAGGATGCAACACACGAAATTGAAGGAGATACAAGCATAGCAATGATTTGTATATAATCTGTAGAGTTTTATTTGTTTCTCTGTTATTTGGTGTCATGTCGCAAGATTTTTAAAAGGTAAAAATAGTGTCCATAAGAGCCTTGGAGATCTTATCTTCAAATATCTTTCTATTTCCAAAGAATCCAAAGCTTTGGGATCTGAGTAACTTGTAAAAGGGCCCCAAGATATTAATGACCAGAGACTGCAATTTGACCTCAGTGTTCCAACTATAATGAGAGAATCATCTTCAGTTAATAATAACACTGAACACTAATAAGGTGGGAAGAACATTTCTCTCCCCTAAAATACTCACTTCAACTGAATAGTTGCCCTCAAATTGGAAATATACATTACTGACTAAAATATGAGACATTTTTCTTCATAAGCGCATAAAATGTCCACCGTTAACAAAACATAAATTGCATTTTCATTTCTTCCCGTTTTAAAACTTCTTTTTTATGATTATTGCTATCTCACTGTTCTATAACATTGACTGTTCCACTTAACTGACTCTTTCATTGCAATTGTATTAACTGCATTTATTTTTAATTTTTTTTTTAATCTGAGGGGGGAAATATTATTGTCCTCTTCTCAATCAGTTAATCAGAACGCCTACACATGAAAAGGTCTTTGAAGAGACTTTATTTCTACAGATTTCCCTTAGCTTTAATGTCAAATACAGTGAATGAAGATTTTTCTTTTCAATAAAATACATTTTCTTTGTGTATTTTTAAAAGCTATTTTAGCTCACCTTTAGGAAAAAAAAAGTCTTTATGTTCCAACAGAATTCTCTCATCTTCATTTATTCATCATTAAGCCAAGTGCTAGAAGAAAATCCTTTGTGATTTATTCATTTTGAAATCATCTTTTATTAATTAAGGTGGAAGTACATTTACAACAATCACTGGTAAATGATGTGAAAAAATATTTAGCCCACTCTTCTTGATTGTAATATATTTGTTAAAGACTTTTCATGGTTTTTAAATTGGCATTTAGAAATTTCATTTGGTTTAAATGATGAATATTTTGCTTGATATAACAATACAAGTGTAACCTTGTGCCTTCTTGAGGCTACCATCCCCTCCACATTTCCAATATAGATTCATTATCACTGTGTGCTTACTCCTTGACTATAACAAAAGAGAAAACATGACATTTTCCTGATACCCAGCAGAAGAGCATAAGAAAAGCATTAGAAGGGCATTAGAGATATCCTGAACTGCAACTTAGATACTTAGCATTCAACTAAATAGCCTCTTTAGATGCCCAGTATATATTTGTGCTGCTTTATTAATGTTAATTGGATCTCATCATTATTATTTTTATTTTGCTAACCCAGACTTATTACTTGCTGGCATTCAGATATAATGGTAGCTGGCAACATACATGATTCAAGCCTTTTACCATCTTAGCATCTATCTCCTCAATGGAAGGAGAATGGGGTATTGGGTCATGGGCAGGCACATCCAGTGATGTCATAAGACATTTCCTTTAAATGTCAGAAGTGGTTGGATTGGTGGTTTGGCTTTCACCTAATAAGCAACTAATCAATCATTACAACCAATTAGGGCAGCTAAACCTTTAAAGGGAGTACGTTTACCTATATAATCAGACCATTATCTTCAAACATCCATATAGAGTAGTTGGTAGGTTCCTGTTGATACTGAAAAAAAAATCCTACCCATATCTGTATTGTCTTAGGTTACTCTATCCTGCCCATGACACTTAAATTTCTTCATCTTATTCAAAGGTTACAGATGCTATAAAACTGATCAATACAGTTCCTATCAAAGTCAATGAGAATTATGGGGGTTTAAAATCCTTTGTGACTTTTTGAAATGCTAAATTATAGTCAGTAAGGAAAAGATCATAAGTCTGCTCTGAGAAATTGATTCCACCTCAATTTGTTTAAAGCAGCTAGTTATCTCAGTGGAGGCAACATTTGAAACTTGAATGTGAGACCAAAAAAGGAAAGGCTTAAATCAAAAGTGGCCTATAGTTTTTATCATGAAAACTAAATATGCAAGTGTTAAAATAATAATTATATCATACTATTTTCAGCTTATTATTTCAATAAGCTTTGTAATGCTCTTTTGTAAATATGCATTTCAAAAAAGCATGGCTTAACTCATATGTTGTAAAATTATAGTTTTTTCTGTCACACTGAAATTGTAAAGGTTGTTAAAATTATTTAACTATTGGTCACATCAAGTCATTTATTTTTCATCTCTTAATGTACTTAAAACTATTCAAAAACTTAAGAAGATTATTTTAGAAAATGCAGGTTTCTCCAGAATATATTTAGTGTAAAGAAGATATAAAATTTTCTTTCAAATAAAATACATACTTATTATTGATATTAATGAATCTTTGAAATCTTTGTGACTGGGTACTTAGGCTTTTGTGTCTTATTAAAAAAAAAGTAAGAAATAATATAAACCCATTTTCTTGGCTCTGTTGTGTAATACCCAGTTAAATTCAGGGTAATTTCACAATACTCTGTATAGCATCCTGGGCTAAGCTGTTGGACATTAATACAAGTGATTTATTTTCCTTCTAACACCATTTTGTTTCACGGAGAGATAAGTACTGAGCCTTTCTCACTTAAACAATAAATAAATTGGACACTATATGAGTTCAGGAAATCACTTTGAAACTTCTTTGTTGTTGTTTTTTTCTCCTCCGGTTTTTACAGAGATTTCGATTCTGTACTTTGATGCTTTTATAACAAAATGTTCCTTAGGCAGGGATATGAGAAATAAAATTGTACTGGGCAATTAAGGAAATGATTGTATTCAGGCTATGGTAACAGGGAGAAACATCCCCCAAAAAGGAATGGAGCCTGGGAGGAATTGTGAAAGTATGAGCCAAATTTCTTATGGTAGTCACAAAGAGGGGTGGAGAAAGAGTACAGATGATGAGTTCTTAGAACATGCATGAGAGTCCTTGAAAATTAGCAACTTCTCATAATACAAAATACTGGGATATTTCTTAACCATTCCTGTTTTCCAAGTGTGTAGGGCCCAGGTAAACTTTACCATTATCAGCACCTACCCGCTTTTATTCAAAATGAATAGGATTTCTAGTTGAACAATTCATAAGTGATCATAAACCTCCTGAGTGAAGGAAAATAGTCTCTAAGAAATTGCCTGAGGCTTCATTTGGGCTTGCTCCTGCCAAACCAGTTGGACCATTTGTTGAGAGGTGATAGCAAAGGCCAGTTGTTTAAAGTCTTGAATATTAAGTGTCCTAAAAAAGAAATGCTTAAAATAAAAAAGAAATGATTCAATTAAAAAAGAGACATTATATAAAATGTGTGTTAACAAAAAGAGCCAGAAGTTAATTCTGAGGATAAACAGTCTAGTGTATTCCAAGAGGTCAAGAGGTTGGTAAAGGAAAATCTTTCAATTACGCTCATTTCCTTTACACTCTCAAAACTAGGATGTTGACGCTCTTGGTGATGTTGTTCACAGTCATGGTTATTTGTCATATGAAGACATGCATGATCCAAGGATTTTGCCAGATTTCTTACGTGGTTCAGTGTATTAGTCCATTTCACACTGCTACAAAAAATTCCCAAAACGGAGTAATTTATAAAGGAAGGAGGTTTAATTGACTCACAGTTCCACATGCCTGGGGAGGCCTCAGGAAACTTACAATCATGGCCGAAGATGGAGGAGAAGCAAGCACCTTCTTCACAAGGCAGCAGGAAAGAGAAGAGCAAAGGAGGAATTTCCAAACTTATAAAACCATCAGGTCTCATGAGAACTCACTATCATGAGAGCAGCATGGGGGAAACCACCCTCATGATCCAATTACCTTTCTTCCTTGATATGGGGGATTACAGGTCCCTCCCTCGACATGTGGGGATTACAATTCAAGATGAGATTTTGAGTGGAGACACAGACCCAAACCATATCATTCAGACAGCAGATTGTCCAGGAAAAAATGCTTTTCTTGCATGTTCTGTTGTGGTGGTGACTCCTTTGAGGTTTAGTTGAAGTCATTAGGTTTTAGTCTACAGATCTTTAATTTCTGGGGAAATGGAACAGCTGCTAGGCAACCTAAAATACCAATAAGGATCTAGATAGTCATATTTTAGTTCTCAATGTTGTCATGGTAGGAGATAGGAAGAAAATGTGAAAATGTTTCTTTCATGAATGTATGGAAGGAAATGAATAATTAAAAATTGGGTAAATATTGAAAATAAGAAAGTATTGTCTAGTTCGATTTTCAGCATTTCAAAACTAATCTACCAATCCTGTATTACTTGGGGTTTTCTGGATAAGGGGAATATATATATATATATGCACACACACATATATATACATGTGTGTGCATATATATGTATATGGGCATATATATATGGTTCTCCAGATAATGAGAATATATATATATAAATATACGTATATATTTATATATGTATATGTGTATATATAAATATGTACACATATACACATGTATACACATATATATTTATATATAATATAAATATACAAACACATTTATATATTATATATACACACACATACATTTATATATTATATATACACACATACATTTATATATAATATAAATATATACACACATACATTTATATATACAAATATATACACACATACATTTTTATATACAAATATATACACACATACATATATATATACAAATATATACACACATACATTTATATACAAGATAAATACATACACACACATTTATATACAAGATAAATACATACACACACATTTATATACAAGATAAATACATACACACACATTTATATACAAGATAAATACATACACACATTTATATACAAGATAAATACATACACACACATTTATATACAAGTAAATACATACACACACATTTATATACAATTAAATACATACACACACATTTATATACAATATAAATACATACACACACATTTATATACAATATAAATACATACACACACATTTATATACAATATAAATACATACACACACATTTATATACAATATAAATACATACACACACATTTATATACAATATAAATACATACACACACATTTATATACAATATAAATACATACACACACATTTATATACAATATAAATACATACACACACATTTATATACAATATAAATACATACACACACATTTATATACAATATAAATATATACACAGCACATTTATATACAATATAAATACATACACACACATTTATATACAATATAAATACATACACACACATTTATATACAATATAAATATATACACACACATTTATATACAATATAAATATATACACACACATTTATATACATAAATATATACACACACATTTATATATATAAATATATACACACACATTTATATATATAAATATATACACACACACACACATATTTATATATAAATATATACACACACATATTTATATATAAATATATACACACATATTTATATATATAAATATATACACACATATATTTATATATATGCACATATATTTATATATGTATATATACACATATATTTATATATATACACATATATTTATATAAATATATATACACATATATTTATATAAATATATATGCACATATATTTACACATATATTTATATATACACATATATTTATATATATATACACATATATTTATATATATATATATATTTATATATATATAAATATATATACATATATATATATATATATACACATATATTTATATATATAAATATATATTTATATATATTTATATTTATAAATATATATACACATATATTTATATATATAAATATATTTATATATATACACATATATTTATATATATAAATACATATACACATATATATAAATATATATACACATATATTTATATATATACACATATATATATATATATACACATATATTTATATATATAAATACATATACACATATATTTATATATATATACACATATATCTATATATATAAATATATATACACATATATCTATATATACAGACATATATATACACACACACATATATATATTCCCCTTCATTTTCAGCCATGATTGTCAGTTTCCTGAGCCCTCCTCAGTCACGTGGAACTATGAGTCAATTAAACCTTCTTCATATATATATATATGTATTCTCTTTCCACATAGAATAAAATCTCTTCATATATAGGTATGTGTATGTGGGTATATATATACACCCCTCATAAATACACATACACCTACCTATGTGTGAAGAGGTTTTATTATTTCTCATTGGCTCATGCAATTATTAAGGCTGAAAGGTCCCACCATGACTGATCTGCTGGAAGCTAGAGACCCAGGAAAGCCAGTGATATAATTCAGTCTGACTTAGAAGGCCTGAGAACCAGCAGTTCTGGAGAAGATCAATATCTCAGCTCAAGGACTCAGGCAGGAGGGGTTCTATTCAAGCCCTCAAGGGATTGGGTGATGTCCCCTACCCAAACACATTTAGTAGTTTAATCTACTTTACTGAGTCTGCCAGTTCAAATGCTTATCTCATTCAGAAACACCATCACAAACTCATCAAGCAATAGTGTTTAATCTGGGTATTTTATGCCCAAACTGACACATAATAGTTTTTTGGATTTTTTTGGGGGGCGCGGTGGGGAGTAGAGTGTATGTAAATTGAACCTCCATCAGGGAAGACAGTGGTAGCAAACTTGCCAGTAATCAGGAATTTACGGAGGTGCAAAACAGGAATTGACAACCTGCAAAAAAGTACTGTAGAAAATACAGGTTTCTATTGAAACACAAAAATTTTCTCTAATTTGATGGCCCATTTGGTTACAGTAGGTCAGACATGAGCACAGTAGGAGAGCACACCAGACACACACACACACACACACACACACACACACACACACACGCCAGGAATTCAGGTGACCATTAGATGACAGTCAGACTGTTGTTAGCTGTATCTCTAAAAAAAAAATTGGTCACAGCCAGCACCAAGGAAAATAAACACCTCTTAATAAACAGACAAACCTGAAACTGGTAATCACCAGCTTCCCAATTAGATCTCAGGAGGTGGGCGAGTGGGCTCAAGCATGTGCATTAAGTGGCAAAAAGGCAGAGTTTAACTGGTATACGACCTAGGAACATTCAGGCTGGTACAGGCAGAACACCTCAAGTGAGCATGTGCACAACTCCAGTAAACACACTGCGTGTACAACCCCTCCCACATGCTGGTAGGTCGCTGTACAGGCAAAGAGTCCACCCCAAGAGAAGAATCGGGGGAAGGGATGGAAGCCTCTGGAAGCATGCCAACATAGAAAACCCCAAGTCAAAAAGTCAAACTGTGCACTTGATCTGTCAATCTGCCAGCTTGGCCTTCTTCCAAGTGTAATTTACTTCCTTTCATTTCTGCTCTAAAGTTTTTAAATCAACATTCATTTCTGCTCGGAAACTTGCCTCTGTCTCTTCTTCTGCCTTATGCTCCTTAGTCAAATTCTTTCTTCTGAGGAGGCAGGAATTAAGGTTGCTGTGGACACATACAGATTTACCACCAGTAACAATTTGATGAAAAGCACCTTCAAGGAAAGATCATTTTTATTGCAAAATAAGGCTGGTATCACTATTCTAGTTACTAACATAGGTACAACAAGAATGATAGTTTACGATTTAGGTCTTCTTGAATTACTTTGTTAGAAGTTTACAGAAGGAAAATTAAATTGGACTTAACAGCTTCTTGAAGCTAGGAAACCAACCCTAAATTTTTACCAGATTTTATCTGCAGTACTAATTAATTTGGAAAAAATTCTATGTTGCTGAGATGTCCAAAATATGCTAAAGTTCCTAGACCTCCCAGGAGTGACTTTCCTGACTCAATTTTAATGCTTGGAACCATTTTAAGTGATTGACCATGGCAGTCGCCCCAAGAAGGTTTCGTAAACATTGCCTCTGTAAAGTCAAACTCGCTTATTTAAAAGTTTCTGGTCATGTCCCATTAAATGAGCACCATTCTCAAAGATGACATTCTAGTCAAGGCTTTGGTTGTGTGAAAATTACTACTTCAAAATGTAAGCTGTTGGAACTCATTTTGAACCTTAAATAAATGTGAGTATAAGGTCTGAGTTGCGTGGCAGGCATCTGTAACCTAGAAAGCTGTAATTTTTGTTTCTATGATTATAGATTAGCCTCTCCCTTACCTGTGTTGTTTGGTAAAATGTTTTAAATCATTGAAAAGCACCAGGTAAGATCCCTTCCATTTTCATTGTTGATTTTCATTATAGATTAACTTCTCTCTTACCTTTCCCACACAAAGACTTCATGACCATCATATTGTCTTAAAATGGTATGTGAAGCATACTCTTTTAAATTGGTAAGGATATGGAAATAAGGTATACAGGAAAAAAATAAATGATTAAACTGTAACTCAAAAATGAGTCATATTGAGAAAATATTGTAAATCTGTTAATTTTCTTTGTTTTCTTCCTATATAAGAACTTAACTTTTAACTTCAGAACACTGACTCCATTTCTCTGGAGTCTGTCTCTGGAATGGCTCTTACAAGCTTTTCACTTGAATAAACTCTAAAACCGGACTCTGATCCTTTTGATTATTTCAGGTTGACATATTTGGTGCCTCAGGAAGGGACCCAAAGAGAACCTTTGCCTTGACCTCCTCTGCTTCATCAATCAGCACCTGCTACTGGCTAAACAATTTCCATCCAACCGACTTTGCTGGATTTTGTGGGAGCTCTTAGCAGGGCCCCTCTTGGGTTCCAAATCACCCTGGCTTAAGTGAGAGTCAGACTTTATTCAAGTGACCCAATTCCATGCTCCATGGGGCTGGAATTTAAGCTCTACTGCTTTAAGGTAGGAGTTGTGTTTGATTTTCCTCTAGAGATTCTGCTGTTTGCATGTTTGTGGTTCACTCTTCTTTGAAGTTAAGGTTTTGTTTGTCTTACTTGCTAAAAGCTGCAAGCTTTTCTCTCATGCAAATCTGGTTAAAGAGAAAGAGAGTGAATGTCGGTGGCTTAAGCAAAATTTGCGATTTAAAACTGTCAAGTTCTGAAGCTCAGTTCATATTGGCACATTTAAATTCTTTTTTTGAGTGACCAAGAATATATTTAAAAGACCTTAATGAGAATGTGAGAAGCCCCAAAGATGAAAGAAGACTGCTCTTCCCAGCCGAAAGGCACCTCACGCAACTGAGGTCACGTGGCAGGGTTGGAGTTTATAGTTCATGAAAACAAAACAAAACAAAACAGAAAAGTCTCATAGGGAATCCCTCCCCCGCCAGAAAAAAAATACAGGGGAATTTGCTTAAACTGGTGGGCCCACATGAAGGGTGAACTCCCAGTGCTTTAAGCAGCCCACAATTCCTGACGTTCATCGTGACACATGAGAGAGAAGAAGTGAACAAAGGGCGACATGTTGGGGAGCTATTCCCATAAGCAGTACATTTGATCCGAAACATCTTTCCTTTTAGCTTTGATCACCTACAAGGAAAATATAAATAATGAACAATCAGCCAACTAAAACTGAGTCCATCTTAAGGAGGAAACCACCTTTAGAATCTTTAGATTTCAATTTACAGATGAATTCAATTTACAGTTGAATTCCTGTAAAATACTTATGGTGCGACCTCTTGTTGTGATTTAGATAAATAGTCATATATAACTTGTGACAACCCTAAATTGAAATAGCCAAGGCAGGGTATCTTTGAAGTGCCTAAACTAGTTCATTTGTGCTTTCAATTAGTAAATGCCAGCTCTAGAATAAAAGAGAATAATTGGAAGAGTTTTTTCCAGTGGTATTTGGAAGGGTCCAAAAGAGGTTCTTATAAAGTTATTTCTTTACAGAGAGAAAACAAAAGATTATCTAAAACATTTTCCTAATTTAAAAAGGCTGCTGAAGCTTCTCCCTCTGAAGCTTCTCCTTCTATTCCCTTAGCTCCTTTTCCTCCTTCCCCTTTACTGTCTGACTTACGTTACCCTGATCTGCCTTCCCTTTCTTCACCTCCTGTCCCTGATGGTTCTGGCCTTGTTTCATCAACAATCAGTGTGTCTCAAGGGGCAGGAACCTGCCTTTATCAGCCATGGCCAAAGATAGAACTTAAAGGCATAATTAAGGATTTTCCCAATCCTCATCAGGACTCTACTGACTTTGCCAAAGAATTTAAACTAAATATTCAAGCGTGTGACCCTGCTTTTCTGATTTATATCAACTAGTTCACATGTTAGTTTCAGAAAGTAAGGCTAAGGATTGATAGATAGAGCCCTTTAGATAAATCCCCTAGAGGATTTCCGTACAGGTTCAGAAGAAGACTGCAGGCATGCCTGTGAAACTGCAAAGGCTCTGCTTGTAGCCATGCCTTTAGTCTTCCAAAAGGTAGTCAACTGGAAGAAAATACAGCAATGATGACCTTTCCTTAAAGCAAGGTTATCTAAAATGAAAGTTATCTAAAAACAGAAACTTTGATTTTGTCAAAAACAGGTAAAGTAGTTACATGTAAAGTACTTGAGCCACTTAATAGGCCTAACAGCTACTGCTGGCCAAAATCACTGGCCATTATTAAAATCCCAGGTCATTCCAAATCAGATACTCCAGAAAGCAGAGGAAATCAGCTAGCTGAGAAGGTAGCAAAGAGAGCTATTCAAAACATATCTAAACAGGAAAACCAACTTATATTAACTTTTAAAGAAGCATCTGAATTTGTCATAAAAGTAACTTGATCCAAAGTCCCAAAATCAGAAAAAAAAAAGGTTGGAAAATAAAAATGGAAAAAAACTCCCCAAAAGGTGAGATATAGTATACACCAAATAATTCATCCCTATTTCCTGCTAAATTACAGTTATTCTTTTTAATTTATGTAGATGGTCTAACTCACTGGAGTCTTGGCAAAATGGTTGCTTAAGGAAAACAGTATTATTGAAAACCTTCTCCAACTATGGGTCATAAGGTGTACGACCACTGACATATTTGCCCAAAATATAATCCAGGAAAAATATCACATTGTTCCCAAGGACACTTTCCTTTACCTGAGGCTCCCTTTGAAATACGGCAACTAGATTTTATCCAACTGCCACTCTGCTGAGGCTATAACATGCCCTGATAATGATTTGCATGCTTTCTTATTGGGTAGAGTCATTTCCTTGCGGAAGATCAATGGCCTTAGAAGTAAGTAAAACTGCCTGGCGCGGTGGTGGCTCACGCCTGTAATCACAGCACTTTGGGAGGCCGAGGCTGGCGGAACACGAGGTCAGGAGATCGAGACCATCCTGGCTAACATGTGAAACCCCGTCTCTACTAAAAATACAAAAAATTAGCCGGGTGTGGTGGCAGGTGCCTGTAGTTACAGCTACTCGGGAGGCTGAGGCAGGAGAATGGGGTGAACCCAAGAGGCGGAGCTTGCAGTGAGCCGAGATCTCGCCACTGCACTCCAGCCTGGGCGTCAGGGCGAGACTCCGTCTCAAAAAAAAAAAAAAAAAAAAGGAAAAATAAAAAGAAAAAAAGAGAAGTAAGTAAAATTATATATATTTTTTCATTCCAGGGGTTTTTCTAGAACCTCATAGTGACAGAAGCACCGACTTCACTGGACACATAATTTAATCAGTATATATAGTCAGACCTATTCTATACAATGTCCATTGTGCTTATCACCCCCGGTTATCTAGATTGGTAAACAACTGGCAATATTAACCAAGGCTGTTAAAAATCTCTTAGCAAAAAGTTCTTGCACTGTTTTTGCAAAACCTAAGATTGACTTCCTTCAAGCACGAGTTATCTCCATTTGAAATTATAACAAGCAGACCAATGAAAATGTTTCCAGAAATTGTGCTTCCTTATTAGTAAAAGGAGATATAGTCACCTATTGTAATCATATTATGATGATGGTTTTAAAAGGGGCTTTCCCTCCTTTGCTCAGCACTTCTCTCTCCCGCTGCCCTGAGAAAAGGTGCCTCATTATTAGGAAAACAGCATGAGGATGGCCACAGCCATGATTCAATTACCTCCTACTGGTCCCTCCCATGACATATGAGGATTATGGGAACTATAATAGAATTCAAGATGAGATTTGGGTGGGGACACAGTCAAATCATATCATCATCTAAGATGCTTTCTTTGAAAGTTCTTGATAAGAAGGCAGAAAATGTGAAAAATAAGTCATTAAAATTTAAGTTATTCCCAATTATTTTGAACTTAAAAAAGTGTAATTATGGGACTTGAGTCATGTCACAGACAGCTTTAACCTAGGAAACTGTAGCTTTTGTTTCTATGATTAAAGATTAGCCTCTTCCTTACCTGCATTGTTTTGTAAAATATAAATGACTGATTGGTGCCAGGGAAGACCCCTTTCCCCTTCACATGCTCTTGACAGTTCATCTTCATTATAGACTAACTGCCTTCTTTTCTTTCTCATGAAAAGACTCACAGCTGTTACATTGTCTTAAGATGGAATCTAAAATATGCTCTTAAACTTAAAAAGAAATGGAAACAACCTGTATGAAAAATAAAACAATAATTAATTTGTTGTAACTCATAAGCCAGCCAGATATACAAAATGTTGTAATTCTGTTAAATTTATTTCTTTTCTGCCTATATAAGCAAGAACTTATATTTAATTGTGAACCACTGATCCCATTTCTCTGGAGCCTGTGTCTCCCAAATGGCTATTCCTAGCTTTTCATTTGGCTAAACTCTTTAAAACTGGATTCAGATCCATTTAATAATTTTGGTTGACATTTGAATAACCAATGTTTCCAATTATCTATATCAAGGAAGATATGTTCTTATCAAACCTATGTAAATAATTATATTGCTATGAAAATAAATATATTTAATATTTATTTTAAATCCTTGAGGGATCAGGTAGGTAGAATAAGATATAATTTTTGTCTGTTTACAAAAGCAGACTCTACTAAATTGTTTTGAGTTATAGGTAACTTAGGAAGACAAAAGGGCTTCCTAATATATCCTGAAAATAGAAGATTAAAACATCAGCAGTATTCTGAACAAAAAAAATAGCATCCCTCATTTGTTTATTCTTTACTATCTAATTAATTTTTATTCCACTCCATCTTGAGTTGACAATCTAATCAATCCATCTGCTTCTCCACTAGAGTTCTGGAAATTCTGACTCAATAATACGTTAGCGTGGCCTTAACGTTGGTTACATCATCTGTGCCCAATAGTACCTGGCATAGTCCTTTTCATTGGAGCTTTATAACAGTTTTTCACTGAAGATGAAATGCATAAGCATGTGGCTGATTACAAGAACTTCCAGAGGAGCATTAAAATAAAGGAACAACAACAGCAAAGCCTTTAGCTCATAAAATATTAAAATGCCCATAATTAACTTATTACTGATAATGTTCAAAACTTAAAACTCTGAGGAAAGTTCATTATAAGAATAATGCACTGACAAAGAAATTTGATCTTTCTGTGGCAAATCAAGCAAGGTAATAAAGTTAATCCAAAAAAAGTTTTAGACAAGATATCTATCTATACACAAAATGATTAACTCTGCTTTTTAAAAGGCTGAATATTACATATAATCTTTAAAAATAAATATAACTTGTACAACAAAAACACATGATAATTCTGATATGTAATACACTGCGAATATTTCAAGCGTATAGTTAGAAAACATCAAATATATATGATCAAGTAAACAAAATTTTTAAGTGTGAATTAGGTCCTAAACATTTCTGTGTTAATAAAACCCCAGAGTAAATGATGCAAATCCCTCGTTTAAAGCCACTACCCTAAAAGATTCTAGATGAAAATTCTAAACATAAAATTATAGCCACGTTAGCATTTTTAATAAAAGAAATTGGCCAGGCGTGGTAGCTCATGCCTGTAATCCCAGCACTTTGGGAGGCCGAGGCGGGAAGATCACCTGAGGTCCGGAGTTCGAGGCCAGCCTGGCCAACACAGTGAAACCCCGTCTCTACTAAAAATACAAAAATTAGTTGGGCGTGGTGGTGGACGTCTATAATCCAGGCCACTTGGGGGTGCTGAGGCAGGAGAATCGCTTGAACCTGGGAGGTGGAGGTTGCAGTAAGCCGAGATTGTGCCACTGCGCTCTAGCCTGGGTGACAGAGTGAGACTCCCTCTCAAAAAAATAAAAATAAAAAAAGGAAAAATAATAAAAGAAATTATAACTGAGATAATTATATTTTTCTTGTGATAATAGGCAAAGCAGGACCAGAAACATAATTCTGATAAATATAAACAAAAATTATAAACAATTAGGACAGTAGCAAATCTATAGAATTTTTCTTACACTTTAGAGCTTCTAAAATATTATCTTTAATAATATTTTACCAATGTAAATTTAACCTAAGGCAGACTAGTATCTTTTTTTGATTTAATTGTTCTTGCCATGCAACTCATCATGAATCACTCACCAAAAAAACCTAATTGTTTTTAACACCTCAAGTTTTATAAGGTTAAGAAGTAAATCTTTGTGATTTTTCAAGGGACACTTAGAAACATTTTGAAGACAACTGCAAGGGCAAAGGATATTTTTTGGGGTCAATCTCAGGAAGATAAAATATCAAAAACCATCAGAATATTTTGAACACTTAATTAAAAGTGTGTATTAGTTTCCTAGTCTGCAATAAGAAATTACCATGAACTTGGTAGCTTAAAACAACAGAAATTTACTCTCTTCCAGTGCAGAAGGCCAGAAGTTCAAATCAAGGTTTCTACAGAGTGATGCTCCCTCTGAAGTTGGAATAGGCATAAGATAGATATTCTTATTCCTTAATCTTTTCTAAAAGGGAAGATTGAAAGAAATAAAGAGGTCACTGATGCCAAGCAAATTTGAAAGCTGCCAAGGCAAACTATATTAGGATTCAAGGCCTAAGAATAATTCTTTGACTCATTTTTCTGCCCTCTGGGCCTGTGGCTGTACCTTCTAGGCCTATGGCATCTCTGTAGTTGGCAACTACCTTCCGGGCATTGGCACTGTCAGCAGCCTCTCCCTCTCTGACATCTGAAACTGTGCCCTCCAAGTCATTTCTCCTTCATTTTATTCCATCTTTGTTCCTTTCTGTCTGCACTTTCAGTGTGTCTCCCAATATAACATTCTCAAAAACCTTGTTGATTTTTATGTGTGTCAACCTCCCTCTTCAAATTCTTCCCCTAGAACCCGCTCTCTGTTTATGGATTCTGCTCAAATGTTTTATTGACTCCATAAGTCACATGTCTGAACTCTTTACCAAAAGGTTGTTGAGCAACACTCTTCATGTTTTCTATAAAACGTACTTTCTCATCTATGGCTATCTGGATAGGCTGAGAGTTTTACAAACCATCTAGTGTTGATTCCATTTTGCTTAAGAATTTCATCCTCAATTTATCTTTTTCTTCTTTCATTTTATTATAAGCAACAAAGAGAAACCAGGCCAAACCTTTTCAACATTGCTTTAAAATCTCCTTACCTCAGCATACAAGTCCATTTCTTATAGTTCTACTTTCTACCTAATATTTGAACACAGTTTGGCCAAATTTTCTGCCATTCTACATCCAGGATCACCTTTCTTCCCTTTTCCAATATTATATTTCTCATTTTCTTCTGACACCTCATGTTTAATGTTTATATTTTAACATTTTATTCATAAAGATAACATGTATTCTGTAAATGTCAGCAGTTTCTCTCCTGTCTTCCTTATTTTCATCAAAGCCCTCATCACATTTGGTGCCTATAATTCTACAAATCATCTCTCCAAGATAAACTAGATTTTTTCTATCAAACATTTCAAAATTCTTCAACCTTCTACCCATTACCTAATTCTGAAACCACTTCCACATTTTGAAATATATATTACAGCAGCACCCACTTCTCAGTACCAAAGTCTGTATTAATTTCTGAGGGTTGTCATAAAAAATTAGCATAAACTTGGTAGCAAAAACCAACATAATTATATTCACTCACAGTTCAGGAGACCAGAATTCTGAAATCAAGAGGTAGTAGGGCCATGTTGTCTCTGCAGGTTCTAGGTAAAAGCCTTTCATTGCCTTTTCCTAGCTTCCAAGGGCTCCCTGTGATCTTCAGCATTCCTTAAATTATGGAAATATCACACCAATCTTTGTCTCTTTTTCACAAGAATTTTCCTCACTGTGTGTTTTCTTTTGTGCCATCTCATCTCGAATAAGGACACAGGCATTGTATTTAGGGCCCATCCCATGCAGTGTGACGTCCTCCACTAATTATATCAGCAAAGACCTTATTTTTACATAAGGTCACATTCTGAGATTTCAAATGAATATAAACTTTTAAAGGCCACTATTCAACTTGCTACAGGTAGGCTAATGGGTTACCAAAAAACACTTAGTTACTGTACTAATCCATTCTCACACTCCTGTAAAAAAAAAAAACAAAACCCTGAGATTGGATCATTAATTACCTGAAAACTGTGGACAGAAAGGAACAAAGGTTGGGTAATTTATTTTAAAAAGCCATTTAGTTGGCTCACAGTTCTGCAGGCTATACAGGAAGCAAAGTACTGGCATCTTCTCGGCTTCTGGGGAAGCCTCAGGCAACTTACAATCATGGTGGAAGGTGAAGGTGAGCCAGCATTTCACATGGCTAGAGCAGGGAGAAGGGGGCAGGGAGGTGCTACACACGTTTGAACAACCAGATCTTGTGAGAACTCTATCATAAGGACCACAACAAGGGGATAGTGCTAAGCCATTAATAAAGGATCCACCCCCATGATCCAGTCACCTCCACCAGACCACCCCTTCAACACTTAGGATTACAATTTTACATGAGATTTGGTGGGGACATAGATCCAAATCATATCATTCCATCCTTGCCCCCCCCCGTCAAATTTCATGTCCTTACATTAAAAATACAATCTTGGCCTCCCTACAGTCCCCCAAAGTCTTACCTCATTCTAGCATTAACTCAAAGGTTCAAGTTCAAAGACTCAGATAAGGCTAGTCCCTTCTGCCAATGAGCCTGTAAAATTAAAAAGAAGTTAGTTACCTTCAAGATAAAATGGGGGTATAGGCACTGGGTAAATTCTCTTACTCCAAAAGAGAGAAATTGGCCAAAAGAAAGAGATTACAGGCCCCATGCAAGTCCAAAACCAGGCAGGGCAGTCATTAAATCTTACAGCTCTAAAATAATTTCCTTTGATTCCATGTCTCACATCCAAGGAACACTGATGCAAGGGTTGGGCTCCAAAGGCCTTGGGCAGCTCTGCCCCTGTGGCTTTGCAGGACACAACCTTCATCACTGCTTTCAAGAGCCGGCATTGTGTGCCTGCAGATTTTTCAGGGACATGGTGCAAACTGTCAGTGAATCTACCATTCTGAGATCTGGCAGATGGTGGCCCTCTTCTCACAACTCCACTAGGCAGGGTTCCAATGAAGACTCTGTGTAGGGGTTCCAACTCTATATTTCTCCTCTGCAACACCCTGGTAGGGGTTCTCCATGAGGGCTCAGCCCCTGCAGCAGGCTTCTGCCTGGATATCCATGCTTTTCCATACATTCTCTGAAGTCTAGGCAGAGGCTTCCAAGTCCCAACTCTTGCACTCTGTGCACCCACAGGCTTAACGACACATGGAAGCCTCTAAGGCTTATGGCTTGCACCCCCTGAAGCAGTGGCCCAAACTGTACCTGGGTCCCTTTGAACCGTGGTTGGAGCTGGAACAGCTGGGATGCAGGTAGCAGTCCTGCATTCAGTCCTCCTAGACCTCTGGGTCTGTGATGGGATGGGCTGTCATAAAGGTCTCTGAAATGCCTTTGATACCTTCTCTCCATTGTCTTAACTATCAGCACTTGGATTCCTTTTACTTATGCAAATTTCTGCAACCTGCTTGAATTCTTCTCCTGGTAGTGTTTTGTTTTGTTTTGTTTCTTCTACTACTTGGCCAGGCTGCAAATTTTTCAAACTTTTATGTTCTGCTTCCCTTTTAAATATAAGTTCCAAATTTACATCATTTCTTTGCTCATGCATATGAACTCAGGTTGTTAGAAGCAGCCAGGTGAAATCTTGAATGCCTTGGGGCTTCAAAACTTCTTCTATCAGATACCCTAAATCATCACTGTCAAGTTCAAAGTTCCACAGATCTCTAGGACAGGGGCATAATGCAGCCGGGCTTTTTCCTAAAGCATAGCAAAAGTGACCTTTACTCCAGTGTCCAATAAGTTTCTCACCTCCATCTGAGACCTCATCAGCCTGGCCATCTCTTTCCACATCACTATCAGCATTTCTGTCATAACTATTCAAGCAGTCTCTAGGAAGTCCTAAACTTTCCTTCATCTTCCTGTCTTCTTCTGAGCCCTCCACATTCTTCCAACATCTGCCCATTACTGAGTTTCAAAGTTGCTTCCACATTTTCAGGTATGTTTATAGCAAAATCCCACTCCTCAGCACCAATTTTCTGTATTAGTCCATTCTCACATTACTATACAAAAATACCTGAGACTGGGTGATTTATAAAGAAAAGGGGTTTAATTGGCTATTGTTTTACAGCTATACGTGAGCATGATGCTGGCATCCACTTGGTTTCTGGGGGAGCCTCAGGGAAAATCATGGAGGAAGATGAAAAGGGAGTCAGTACTTCATATGGCTAGAGCAGGAAGAAGTGGGTAGAGGTGCTACATACTTTTAAACAACCAGATTTTGCAAAAACTCTATCATGAAAACAGCACCAAGGGGATGGTGCTAAGCCATTACTGAAGGATCCACCCCCATGATTCATCCAATCACTTCCCACCAGGCCCCACCTCCAATGTTGGAGATTACAATTCAACATGAGATTTGGTGGGGACACAGAACCAAGCCATGTCAGTTACCTACTTAATCAAAGTGACAAGAAAAGATTTTGAAAGTAATCATAGGAGGTAATATAATTGTAAAGAAACTTAGCTCTTTTAAATGTGAGAACTTTGGTCTCTTCAAAAATCAAAGACATAATCAAGTTAATATAAAGCATAGACAATTATTCTAATAAGATCCAGAATGTTCTCTTCCATCTCATTTTTTAATGTGTGTCAGGCAACCTATGCTTGCCAAATAACCCTTTCAGACTTCAGTGGTTCAAAGAATTTCTCTTTCAGTTTTTAGTTTAAATGTTTAATTTAACAAATCTGGTATTGGTTTAAATAATGTGTTAGGAGTACTTTACTTATGAACAAAGCATGAGTCTTTCAGAATTGCAGAATTTCTTTCCTTCCCCCAAAGATGGTATATTGGTTGTGTGAAAGTGTTTTACTGTGCCCACACGGCTGCAGTGAGCTATGTGCTTTTTTTCTGGAGCTTAGTCTTCTTTTTCTAACTAGATTATTTGACTCCACAGACTGGTTGAAGCCCTTTTGTCTTCTGTACACTTTCTTTCATTCCTCTTTTTTCCAACTCCAAACGTTTGGCACTTCATTATAGTCTGAGCACCCCATATTCCTTCACTGGGAAAGGGCAAGGATTCTCGGTCTCTCTGAATCAACACAGGCCAATTTATAAATTACCTTCTTACTGTCGTGACAAATAAATACAGCCCAATGTATACATACAAAGCCTAAATTAGATACAGATTGAGTAACTGTTACCCAAAATGCTTGGGATCAGAAGGGTTTTGGATTTAGAATGTTAAGGATTTTGGAATATTAACATATACATAATGAGGTTGGAGATGGAACCCTAGTCTAAACAGAAAATTTATTCATGTTTTATGTATACCTTATACACATAGCCTGAAAGTAATTTTATATAATATCTTAAATAATTGTGTATATAAAATAAAGTTTTGACTGTGACCTATCATAGCAGTTTAGGTATAAAATTTTTTACTTGTGGAATCATCTTGGCACTGAAAACATTTTGAATTTTAGACCATTTAAGATTTTGGAGTGTTGTAACTTGCATGGTTTTTTCCTAAGACAGAACCACCTACTCACAACTCAGGCTTTTCTGAGGCAAAACAAAGAGAACCATTTTAGAATACAACAAAAGACAAAACACCTTTCTCCTCTGGATTTTATGTCTAGTCTGAACTCTGGTTACATACTCATAGTGACAGGTGCATTTCACAAGTTTGACATTCTAACTGTCATTTCTTTTTGAGAACTAGCTTAGATATCTTTCTCTTACTGACCATAGTCTGCTTATATAAATTAGCCTTGCCTCCCTCTTTTCCATCTCAAGAAAAAGTTATCCACCGTTTTCTTTTAAGTTAAGTACACACTTATCTTCATTATATTTTTCTCTTCTCCAAATCCATCATGTATCCTGACTGATCAAATTACTATGTCTTCTCTACCTGGGTCTTCAATTTTTCACTTTCTTTTTGGTCTTTTCTAATAGCATAGTAACTTGTTCAGATTTTTCCACCATAAGAAAAGATACTCTCTGTATTAGTCCATTTTCACACTACTATAAAGAACTGCCTGAGACTGGGTAATTTATAAAGAAAGAAGGTTTAATTGACTCACAGTTTCGCATGGGTTGGGAGGCCTCAGGAAATTTACAATCATGTTGGAAGGGGAAGCAGGCACATCTTACATGGTGGCAGGTGAGAGAGAAAAGTATGCATGAGGAACTGTCAAACACTTATAAAACCATCACACCTTGTGAGAACTCACTCACTCTCATGAGACCAGCATGGAGGGAACTACCCCATGATCCAATCACCTCCTTCTCTAAACATGAGAAAAGATTTGAGATGAGATTTGGATGGGGACTCAAAGCCAAACCATATCATTCCACCCCTGTCCCCTCCCAAATCACATGTCTTTTACATTTCAAAACCAATCATGCCTTTCTGACAGTCCCCTAAGGTCTTAACTCATTCCAGCATTAACCCAAAAGTCCAAGTCCAAAGTCTCATCTGAGACAAGGCATGTACCTTCTGCCTATAAGCCTGTAAAATCAGAAGCAAGTTAATTACTTCCTAGATACAATGGGGCTACAGCACTGGGTAAATGTCCCACTTCAAAAGGGATAAACTGGCCAAAACAAGTGTCTACAGGCCCCATGCAAGTCCAAATTCCAGTGAGACAGTTATTAAATCTTAAACTCTAAAATAATCTCCTTTGGCTCTATGTCTCACATCTAGGGCATGCTGATGCAAGGGGTGGCTCCCGTGGCCTTGGGCAGCTCCTTCACATGCTGGTGTGAGTGCCTGTGGCTTTTCCAGACCCACAGTGCAAGCCAGTGCAAGCTGTCGGTGGTTCTACCATTCTGGGGTCAGGAAGATGGTGGCCCTCTTCTCACAGCTTCCCTAGGCAGTGCTCCAGTGCAGACTCTGTGTGAGGGCTCCAACCCCACATTTCCCCTTTGTACTGCCCTAGCAGAGTTTTTCCAGGAGGACTCCACTCCTGAAGCTGACTTCTGTCTGGACATTCAGGTATTTCCAAATATCCCCTGAAATCTAGGCAGTGATTTCCAAACTTCAATTCTTTACTTACATGCACCTTCAGGCCCAACACCACATGGAAGTCACCAAGACTTGGAGCTTGCACCCTCTGGAGCAACAGCCAGAGCTGTACCTTGGCCCCTTTTAACCACAACTAGAGCTGAAGGGGCTGGGATGCAGGGCACCATGTCCCAAGGCTGCATAGAATAGCAGGGACCCTGGGTCTTGCCCATGAAACCGTATTTCCTCCTAGGCCTCTGGGCCTGTGATGGGAGAAGCTGCCACCAGAATCTCTGACATGCCCTGTAGACATTTTCTCCATTGTCTTAATGATTAACATTTGGCTCCTTGTTACTCATGTAAATTTCTGCAGCTGGCTTGAATTTCTCCCCAGAAAATGTGTTTCTCTTTTCTACTGCATTGTAAGGATGCAAATGTTCCAAATTTTTATGCTCTGCTTCCCTTTTAAACGTAAGTTCTAATTTCAGATCATTTCTCTCAAGATCAAAGTTCCACAATTCTCTAGGGCAGGGGCAAAATGACACCAGTCTTTTTGCTAAAGCATAGCAAGAGTGACCTTTGCTCCATTTCTCAATAGATTTCTCATCTCCATCTAAGACCACATCAGCCTGGATTTTGTTGTCCATATAACTATCAGTATTTTGGTCAAAACCATTCAACAAGTCTCTAGGAATTTCCATACTTTTCCACCTCATCCTGTATTCTTCTACGCCCTCCAAACTGTTGCAACCTCTTCCTGTTACTCAGTTTCAAAGCTGCTTCCACATTTTCAGGTATCTTTATAGCAGTACCCCACTTCTGGTGTCAGTTTACTGTATTAGTCTGTTTTCACACTGATGTAAAGAACTGTTGTAAAGAAAGGAGGTTGTAAAGAAAGAACTTGGCTCACAGTTCTGCATAGGTGGGGAGACCTCAGGAAATTTACAATCATGGCAGAGGGGAAGCAGGCATGTCTTACATGGCAGCAAGTGAGAGAGAAGACTGTGTAGGAGGAACTGTCAAACACTTATATAACCATGAGATCTCATGAGAATTAACTCACCAGCATGGGAACAGCATGGATTAAGCTCCCCTGTAATCCAATCACCTCCCTCCCTTAACACGTAGGGATTACAATTCAAGCTGAGATTTAGGTGCGGACACAGAGCCAAACCATATCACCCTCCTCATATCCTATAACACATATAACACACTTTCTGTAAGGTAAAGTTATCTTTCAGTTAGACTAGCATAGTTCTATGCTTCTGGCAACATCTGAAGTCTAGTACTAACTCTTGACTAAGGTAAAAATAATGAAGATAGATAATAATTCATAATCTTTTGTTTAAGGTTCATATTCACCTTGTGGTGCTCACAGTCAGTTTTTTACATTGTTTTGGGATGTATAGATTGGTAGTTTATTCCTGTTCTAACTGATTACACACACTGGTACGTTACGTGATCAGTGGCACATAAATGAGCCCATTGGAAACTTTTGCCAAGCACTTTTGAAATGAAAATTTCTTGAACATATCTTGGTAATGCATAATTCAGAGATGAAGCATTTTTATGAAACTATAAAAGGGTACTGAAAAATCTTTGGGTCCACAATGCTTGCCTGTGCTTCATTTATCCTACTACAGCATATCCTTATCTTGATTAAAGTATTATATGAGTATACCTGGTGGACCCTTGTGAGTTCTTCAAATTATCTGCATGGAAACACTTATTGTACCCACTCAACATAATGCCACTTTCTAACTCTAGGCATTATAATTCACAAAAATCCCTAGAGATGAGAATATGGCTCAATTGAGGTAAGCCAAATCAGGGTTTAAGGGTATGTTAACAGAGAGAAAAGCTCTCTTTTCTCTAAGACTATAAATAGAAATGGTGTATTCCTGGAATTGTTTGTAGCAGTGTTCTCACCTTCACCACCCCAGTGGAATTCATCTGTGTCAAAAAAGAAGGGTGATAAAATAAAATGATAAATTCTGAAGGAGAAAGACAATGAAAAAAAGAGACAGAAGCAGAAAAAAACATGTAAAGAACTCTAAACTCCTTAAGTTAGCCTGCTACTGAGCTCTCATTATTTGAACAATAAATTCCCATTTATGCTTTAGCAGTTTGAGTGGTGTTTCTGTCACATTTAACCAAAACAACTTTGACTAATACATTATTTTAAAACAAAGCCATAATTTATTCATACATTTATTCCCAGGTTTAACAAATGCCTGGCGTATTCTAGATAAAGCATTGAGTAAATTTCTATTTATTTATTTATTTATGTCCTTATTAGCGTCAGGGTCTCATTCCGCCACCCAGGTTGGAGTGCAATGCCATGATCATGGCTCACTGCAAGCTCTTCTAACCCCCGGGTTCAAGCCATTTCCCCTCCTCAGCCTCCCAGGTAGCTGGGACTAAAAAGTACATCACCCCACCATATTTCATAAATTTTAAATCCAAAAAATAAAGAATAAAACTAATGGATACTGAAGATTAACTTAGGTGAATACATTTGTATGTCCCCAACTTCTTGAAAAAGCAGGATGAATTTAACCTACATGTGTCTGTCAAAGCATAAGTACATATACTGTATTAAATTTAAATAATTTGAATTACATACAGTGGAGATATCTTAATTTTATAACAGTGTATAAGTGTCACTCCTGAGATACAGTACTCAGGGACTGTTTTTGACACTCCTTTTCTATTTACATTAATTTGTGTGACTAGATCTTTAATACATCCAGGTGAAATTTTAGCCAAGTCCTCTGAGTTTCTAATAACTTTTTCTTACTATATAATATTCTCTGATCAATAATGAATATGTCTTCAAAACACTTACAACACCAAATGCTGGCAAAGTTGCGGTTCAATGGGAACTCTCAAGCATTGCTGGTGGGAATGCAAAATGGTATAACTACTTTTAAAAACACCTTGGAATTCTTAAAATAAAAGCAAACATACTCTTACCATATAACCCAGCAATTCAACATTTTGGTATTTACCAAAGTGAACTGAAAAATTATGCCCCCAAAACCTGCAAACAAATGTTTGACAGCTCTATTCATAATTACCAAGATATCCTTCAACAGGTAAATGAACAGACAGTGGAACATCCAGACAATGGAATATTAATTAGTACAAAAAATAAATGAGCTATCAGTTTGTGAAAACACATCAAGGAAAGTTTGTTACTAAGTGAAATAAGCCAATCTGAAAGGGCTAAATACTGTATGATTCTAATTACATGCCATTCTGGTAAAGGCAAATATGGAGGCAGTAAAAGTATCAGTGGTTTCCAGAGGTTAGGAGAGAGGCAGAGAGAAATGGGCCGAGCACAGAGGATTTTTAGGGCAGTGAAACTACTCTATATGATACTATAATGGCTGATATATGTCGTTATACGTTTGTCAAAGACCCAGTGTATCTGTGACATGGTACATTCTCAATAAATGTTGACTAAATTGTTATCATTAGCTGTCACTAACATTCTCCACATGTATCAACATATAAAAGCTATCAAGTATACATTAAACTGAATATTATTTTACTGAAAACATGATGGAGGCAAAAACTAAAAGAATACTGTCATTGTTCAAACTAATGCATTTCAACACATTTTACATTGTTATGCATGACATAATATGTTTATGTGATATTTGAATACATACTTCAACTTTTCACCTTTCTTTCCCCATTGTCTACTCTCTATTTTTTATCCCTTTATTTTCAACTTTCTCTTTTCTTTTTATTTTTATCTTTTTCCTTTTCTCTCATATAGAAACCCTCTACCTTATATAAAAACCAATACATCTTTCAGCTTTTTAAAAATTATCATGAAGTTTTTATATTTTGAATATTTTGTGAAAACTTAAATAAACTGAATGCGTCAATGTTTTGTATCTCATCTGACATAATTTTTAACAATTTAGACTCATTAGTTACTGATAAAAATGTAACAATCATTGCAATTTAATCCCTGATAGAAGATCCATAAAGAAAAGTAGATCCTCATAGGACAAAGATTTTCCACTTATTTCATAAAGAATCTAACTCCTAGTGTCTGTGTCTGAAAGCTGTCTGAATTGATCACAATAAACGGAAAGGAGCTTAGCAGAATGAGTGTCTTTCATAATCAGGCATTACATGGGCATCAGAGTAGGGTGATAACTCCCTGCTCTATTCTATTTTATAAGAACAGGAGAAATTACATGGATGAAAGAGGATCAGGTACCTTATTTCCTTTAGTTCCCCTAAACTTCTTACACTTAAGTATGGTATACGACAGAGATAAGAAAAAATCAAGGTAGACACAACATCGAAAGCACAGCGTATTTTTAAAAAGTGTTCCTTATGATCAAAGCTGAAGAAAATTTTACAGACAAGAAGTTCGGAAGTAAATGATCAAGTCACTTAACGGGGTTTCAAAATTTATACTGCCCAAGGCTGAATGAGAGATTGCAGAGCTTTCATCCTTCCATTGATAAACAGAAAATAATTAAGTTTTCTCCTAAATAATCCCTGCCCCGTATTTTAAATAACAAAAGCTTCCCTTCAGCTGTATCAGCCCAACAACTTGTCCCAATTTTTTTCTCATTAATAAAATATTTAACAGTTCAAACAAATGAGTATGGATCAATTTAGGGGAAAACAGTCCAAACACTTCTAATGTCATCAGTAATTTGTAAGAAATAACTTGCATATAAAAGCTTTGGTCTTTTTCTACTTTTGCTCCATTGATAATGATCATTTTTGAAAATTCATATTTATTAATATTATCCAGAAAGTAAACACATGATTTACAAGCACAATGATTTCTCCTAATCTTTTCCCTTTCTGGGTGATGCAGAGAGACAGATAGATAGGGCTGTGTATATAAACCAAAAAGGAGAAACCCTAAAAATATGAATCTGTGAGCTTATATACACATTACCTGCTTCCCTTTAAAAGGAGGGAGAAAAACTGAATCTCCCTAATGGGAACATATTCCCTTTGGGAAAAGAAGGGGAAGGGCCCTGGGTTCTTATCTTTTGGAACGTCAATGCAATTCACTGGGAAAAAAATGCATTTCACTGTTTCATTCCATGGGATATTTCCATAGTTCTGGATTTTATCTCCCTTTAACATCTATTTATTTATTTAGAGACAGAGTTTCACTCTTGTCACCCAGGCCAGAGTGCAGTGGTGCTATCTTGGCTCATTGCAAACTCTGCCACCCAGGTTCAAGCTATTCTCCTGCCTTAGCTTCTTGAGTAGCTGGGACTATCAGGTGTGCACCACCATGCCCGGCTAATTTTTTGTATTGTTGAGTAGAAACAGGGTTTCACCATGTTGGCCAGGCTGATCTCGAAATCCTGACCTCAGGTGATCCGCACAACTTGGCCTCCCAAAGTGCTGAGATTACAGGCGTGAGCCACCATGCCTGGCCTCCCTTTGACATACCTCAAAGATGTAAATCCCTTATTATCTATTCAGTCATCTTTTAGGTAAAAGTCTTCTCCTTTAATTTAGGCCTGAAGTTTCTGTTTTAGCTTTGCTCAGAAAACCCTAACTTCAGAAATATGAAAATGAAAATATTTTCTCTGCAGTCTTGCAGACATCCCATATTATATTCTGCTATTTAAAAAAAAATCTGTTTTCCTCTTCTCATAGCAACATTTACAATTTGTTGGAGTTAACTTTTCGTAGATGACTCTGGTCTTTGCAAAAGTTTTATATATATGTGTGTGTACACACACACACACACAAACACACACGCCCCTATATATGTAAAGCTCTAAGTCTTAGACTTTTTTTCCCATTCTTGTGATATCAGAGAGAAAAGGAAGTGAAAATGCCAATGTAAATAGAAAACAATGGGAGTAAAAGTGGACTCTACCGATGAAATAAGGCATCTAGAGGTCATGTGGTCTCAAAACTTCATTTGACAAATAAATGATAGAAATGGAGGTGCAGGGGTAAAGTATTAGGCTGGTGTGAAAGTAATGGTGATTCTCACCGTTACTTTTAATAGCTTGTCTAATGTTGCCTTTTGGGTGAAAAGCTAGTATACATTTGAATCGTGAGGTTTTTGTGTCATCCTTACACACAAGATCTTTAATCCCAGAAATTATCTCTATAGCAGTCTCTTCAATTCAAAACACCCCAACTTTCAGGCATAAAACTTAGAGGTTATAAAAAGTTGAACAGTTTGCCTCAAAGTGTCTAAAAGTTGTGATAAGGTACTATATCATTAGCTAACAACGGTCACTGCTCCAGTGACCTGAAAGTCTAGTATTCTCTTCCACTAGATAGGAAAAGGAGACAGCATCACGACCCACATGGGCACTGTGCTTACTGCCAACTTTTCTAGTGGCCACTCAGAGGTCATTTTGTCTCAGCTGGTATCCACAGGGCAGCATACATTATAGTAATTGTAATATCTCCCTCCATAGACAAATTATCCACACACTAATCCTCTCCACACACTAAGATATTAATATTAAATATAATATTAGTGATTACTTCTGATATGTTGGGCATGGCTTGGGGACTCTACATGCATTAACTTATTTTAACGTTCACAACAACTCTATCATTCTTATTTAGAGATGAGGCTCAGAGAGATTGAATAACTGGCTCACAGTCAATGAGTTAGTTAATTCTGAGATTGGGTTTGAGTCCTGGATTTCTGGCTCCAAGGGACCACAATCTTTGCCATTATGCCATACTGACGTATGGCACACAATCCTCAAGTAATGTTGGAAAATGAATTATAGTGATTTATATCACTCAGCATAGGACAACTTTAGAAGTATTTGATGTCAAAGATTTTCACAAACAGTATTCCAAGTGTAATAAATTCATAGTTTCTAAACTGGCCATTGCCTTTATTTTTACCTGCAAGTAAAATGGCACCCATTCACAGGAAGTCATTTCTCTGGGGAAAGGATACAAGAATTTCAATCCATTAGGGTCACGTTATAAGAAAATATATGTTTGCTTGTTTTTCCTACCTCTCCCATCGTAATGAATATTTTATTTAAATGTATATAGATCACTTTCATAATGTTAATATCTGTTGAATCATTAAATTATATAATTGTATTTAAGAAAATTATCTACCAATATTCTAAATGATACTGTACAAAGTGTGTGCACAGGGAAAACGACCTCATCTTAGTACTGGGACTCTTTAACTTTTATGACACAACTAAATTTTTAAAGAAATTTCCCACCGCATATTATTTTTTGAGACATTTTAACACAAAATTAGCAAGATTATCTGCATGCAAAAGTATTCACTTGTTCATCCATTTGTTTACTTTACTCAAAAATATGTATTCATTGTCTTGTATGTGTGAGCATGATCCCGGAAATACAATGCTAAACAAGACAGACAACATCTCTGCCATCATGGAGCCTACACGGTGAGGAAGTGCAGGAAGAGCTAAAGAATGTTTCCTGAGGAAAATAGAAAAGCAAAATTCAAAAATGAAAAATTAAAATATCATATTACATTCAGAGGAAAGTCAATAAATTCAATAACATACTAACAAAGAAAAAATTTAAATGTCGTATGTTCTCTAGCGAAGGACAAATCCAACTGTTGATAATACCAGAACAAGTGCATTATCACATCTATTTTCTAACAGTTTGATCTTGAAGGGCTTAGCATTTTGTATTACCTACATTTTGACTCCAGCACGCACACCTTCTCGGATACATAATTAGCATATTATGGCAGTCCCAAATTGTGAACTGACTTAGCAAGGAAAAAAAATAAAATAAAAAAAGACTAAGAGAGAGAAATAAAAGGGTGAGGAAGTAATGTGTGAGTGAAATTCGTTATCTCCTAGATCTCCAAGCTTGATGAGTAGAAATGTCTCTGGCCATCCTAAACCTGAATTCAGGATTCCCCACTCCAGTTTACCTCATGGGTGTCTGGTCAACCCAGGCACTGCAATGTCTCTTTTCACTTCTCTTTAAAAGAGTCTGTACTCTTCTATCTAAAGACAAGGCATTTTCCTGTTCTCCTTACCCAAGGTAGGGCCCTGTCTGCCTGAGTATCCTTTTCTATAAATAAACCCTTAATGTGTAACTGGCCTTTTTATATAGAAGATGACTTCCTTACTTATGGTGGCATACTCCAGAAGGATATTAGTGGCATAGTCTAGAAGGATATTGTTTTCTATACTGACTTTTATTTATGGGCAAAATTATTTGAGGGATAAAACGTTATTCTGGGCCAGGCACGGTGGCTCACACCTGTAATCCCAGCACTTTGGGAGGCCGAGGTGGGCAGATCACCTGAAGTCAGGAGTTCGAGACCAATTTGACCCACATGGAGAAACCCTGTCTCTACTAAAAGTACAAAATAAGCCGGGTGTGGTGGCGCATGCCTCTAATCCCAGCTACTTGGGAGGCTGAGGCAGGAGAATCGCTTGAACCTGGGAGGCAGAGGTTGCAGTGAGCCGAGATCATGCCATTGCACTCCAGCCTGGGCAACAAGAGTGAAACTCCATCTAGAAAAACAACAACAACAACAAAAAAACTGTTATTCTGGTTTTATATCTTGGGGGAAAAATAAAAATAAAAGGACCCAGCAAGGATAGACAAAATTTTTAACCGTCAAATATGTGTGTGTGTGTATACACATTTATATTTATATATAAAATGTTTGAAAATACTTCTCATATATAAAATGATATATAGAATAAATATATATCACTTTATTAGATGAAGAAAAATGAGGGAGATTTATTCTTTTTACAGAAAAAAAAGACCCACTTTATTAATACTCTCTGTGCACTGTTGATATTTTAAAAATCTGCCTTTGCAACAAAAAACCATCTTGCCTTCAGTAAGAGCTTTTTTTCAATAGGTCAATCTGTTTACCAATTGAGTTATAGTTGAAGTGTATAATAGAACACATAGAAAGGATGAGACCAGTAAAATCACAAAGTCTTAGCATATATAGACTAAAGGTTTCTGCATCATAAGACATCAACATTTTAGAGTAATTTCATTCTTATTTTTGTTTTGGTATGGTCATCTCTTCAATAACTAATTTTAAACTTTTTCTTGAAAGAATTTCAAATGTTCAGAAGAATTACACGAATGGTACAAAAAATTCACATTTCCTTCATCCAGATGAATTCAACAATTGTTAACATTTTGTCACATTTGTGCACTCTCTTTCTGATTGTCTAATATTGACGTTTTTAAGGGTTATAGAACACTTGTTTTGTGGAATGTCCTATAATTTGATTTGAATTTATCTAACATTTCATCATGATGAGATTTAGGTAATGCCTTTTTGGCAAGAATACTACTCCTGATGCTTTCATTCCCTCTCCCTGCTCTATCTCTCTGTACACACAAACATATGTTAGTGAGTTAGTTGTAGACATCATGTCAATTTATCTATAATTATGAATTTTTCTAACATATAAAGACAACTTAAAGACATGCTTTTATGTAATTACAGGCATGTAATATTTGTACAATAATTTTATGTAATACTTCTATAGTTTTCTCAATAATGTTCTTTATGGCAAATTTTACCTGATCTAGGATCGAATACAGCATCACAAATTGTACTTAGTTGTATTGTCTCACAAAAAAATGACAGTAAGAAAAAAATAATAATTGAAAAACTGAAAAAAAATTTCTGAGTACATATAGATAAAAACATAAGCAAGAAGAGGGAGGTCTTTATTACATTATAATTCTAACAAATAAATATGAATATAAAACAGAGTTAGAACATCATTTTTCAACTGTGAGGGTAATAATTGATTCAGGCAAGAATTTTAAATGGTTATTAAACATACTGGGTAAAAATTTGAAGAACATGATATTTAAACAGTCTATATTCCCCATAGTTTACATGCTATTTACAAAGGGAAAAATGGTAATATTAGAGTGTAAAACTAAGTGAACATATTTAACAAAATTAACAACACCAATAAAGGGGCAAATTGACAAGATTTGCATTTTGAATGTGATGAAACTAAGAACACATCACCATGGTTAATTCCTATCAAATATACATAAAATCAGACTCCGCTTATGAGAAAATACATGTAGGTATTGGGCTAGGAGGTAAAAAAAAAATTCTAAACAAGACAGTCAAAATCTTAGCTCTAATGGAGCCCACATTCTGGTGACTGTGGGGAAAATGGAGAAAAGTTGCTTGAGGGAAATAAAAATGGAACTAAAATTTTAAAAATCAAAGTATGGTATTACAGAGTCAAGTCCAGAAGGTTGAAAACCATACTAACAACAATCATAACAAACAACAACAGCAAAATAGAAATGAGAGCTATGCTGTATTGGAGTACAAGTGACTGCTGATAATAATAAACTTGACAGACCCAAAGTGAAAAACATTCTTCAAAATCATGGCATGCAATCTTCAAAAATGTCAATATCATGGAAAATGACAAAGGCTGAGGGTTTTCCTCTTTGATTTATCAAATTTAGTTATAACCACAATGCTCAAAAAGTTAAAGTAGAAATAAATTCATAATGAGTAAAACTTTCTTAGATAACCATTTAATAGCAAATTTTGATTAAAGTAGATGTACACTGAGTATACAATTCAATATTAAGGTTTTGATGTCGTTATAAATATGTTCACAGTCTGTTCTGTTTTGTAATAATATTTTATGAACCCTCTAATGGATTATAATCCTGGTCTTGCCTAATAAAATTAGGTATTGCCTAATATAATCTTAGCTTGCCTAATAAAATTTTCAGTAAAAATGTGTTCATTTTCAGATTATATTTATAAAAATATCCTAATAGTAAATTATAATAGGTAAAAAAAGATAGGATGTTTATTAGAGTTTATGTTTAAGATCTAAAATATAAATATTTGCATCTATTAGGAATATAGCCATATTTGTAAAAATTAGATTAATATCCACATAATAAAATGGGGTTTTAATTCAGAATACATAAAGTAGTATATATTTTTATAAATTTGTATAATTGCCAAGTACCACATAAGTCAAACTTAAAGGACTATGTGAGTCAAAGTGTTTTATAGCCCTTTTTTCTAGTGTTAAAATTTTTAAATATTACAAACTAATTTTCTGGTCAAAGAATGGATAAATACTCCATATATTTTATGTTACCAAAGCATAATAACAAAATACTATTTACATTTTGATAGAAAATTTCCACTTCCAAGAATTTAACCAAAAATAATGTCACATGGAGGTGGTACCATTATTGAGGAAGCATTTTGGAAATTTTTAGAATCACTTTTGGTTGACACATAACTGGTATGACTATAGAAATTTCAAATAATCTTACCAAATATTCATGTGAGTGTAAAAGCAATTTACACAATTTGGACTTCAGAAATTTATCCAGTGTCATTTACAACTTTGGAAAATCATGTCACCAACAACATTGCTGCTCATAGTGCTAACATATACACCCGAACACACATATATATTTCTATCATTTTTTTCATCTGAAGTTATTGAATACACAATCATTTCACATATTCAGGCAAACATCTGATGATTCAATAATGTCTTTAGCGCAAGGATTGGCAAACTTAGACCCTGGACAAACTCATGCCTGTCATTTGAATTTGCAAATTAAGTTTTATTGGAACAAAGCTATGCCCATTTATTGCCTATTGTCTATGACTTTCTTTTGTACTATAATGCTAGAGTTGAGTAGCTGCAACAGCGACTATTACTGGCAAAGCCAAAAATATTTAGTATCTGGCACTTTACAGAAAAAGGTTGTATACCCATGTTTTAGTGCATCATTCTCAAGCATGTATTACACTTAGGTAAATATAAGTAAAACTTTTTTCACTTTGTTCATTACAGTGTGATATTATATTAATTTTTTTTTAAATGTATATAATTTGCTCACAGTATGTGTGGTTTTTATTTTAGGATAAGAAGGAAGGCATTACAAAATACATGCTACATAAGGAAGTTTGAGAACTTGATAAAACTGTAAGCGAGTACCCTAAAAAAGGGTCAGAGATAAGCCTTTTCACTCAGTTGATTGTTTCCTTTGCTGCACAGAAGTTTTTACGTTTGGTGTAGTTGGCATTAATTCTTCTTTAAATGTTTAGTAGAATTCTCTAATGATGTCATCTGTTCCTGGGCTTTTCTTTCTTGAGAGTTTTTTGATTATTGGTTCAATATCCTTTCTATAGATCTGCATATATTTTCTATATTTTCATAATTCTGTCTTGGTAGGTTGAATATTTCTAGGAATTTGTCACTTCTAGGTTACCTACTTTGTAAGCATTTAGCACTATAAGCTTTCCCATTAGTATAGCTTTCGCTGCATTCCATATGTGTTGATACGTTGTGTTTTCTTTTTCATTTATGTCTAGATATTTTTAAATTTATCTTGTAATTTATTCTTTAAACTGTTGGACATTTAAGGATGTCATGTTATTAAATTTCCATGCATTTGTGATCCTTACTGTTTTCCTACTACAATCAATTTCTAGTTTCATTCTATTCTAGTTGGAAAAGATATTTCGTATCATTTTAATCTTCTTAAATGTGTTAAGACTTTTTTGTGAGCTAATATGTCAACTATCCTGGAGAATGTTATGTGCACACTTGAGGAGAATGTATATTCTTATGTCAAGTGTTCTACATATGTCCGTTCAGTCCAATTGGTCTAAAATTTTGTTCATATCCTCTGATTATTTATTGGTATTCTTGTTGTTATATCCATTATTGAAACTGGAGTATTGAAGTTTGCTAGTATAATTGTATTGCTATCTATTTCCCCCTTCAATTTTGTCAGTATTTGCTTCATATATCTGGTAACTCTGGTGTGAGGTGAACACACACACACACACACACACACACACATACATTTACATATATATTTATACACACTAATGGTCAACTTACTAGGCCGATTTAACAATTTTGTATATAAATATAGATAGATAAAGTTGGCCATTTTATCATTATATAATGTCCTTTTTGTCTCTTTTGATAGTTTTTACTTAAAATCTGTTTTTTCTGATATAAGTATAGCTTACCCCTGTTCCCTTTTGGTTACCACTTTTTTTAAATTTTAACTTCTATTTTAAATTCAAGGGTACGTGTGCAGGTTTGTTATATAGGTAAATGTGTGTCATGGGGGTTTGTTGTACAGATTATTTTATCCCCTAGGCATTAAACCTAGTACTCATTAGTTTGTTTTTTTCCTGATCCGCTTCTTTCTCCCACCTCCCACCTTCTGATAGACTCCAGCGTGTGTTGCTCCCCTCTATGTGTCCCTGTGTTCTCATCATTTAACTCCCACTTACAAGTGACAATGCGCAGTATTCATTTTCTGTTCCTGCATTAGTTTGCTAAGGATAATGGCCCTCAGCTCTATCAATGTTTCGTGAAGGACATGATATTGTTCTTTTTATGGCTGCATAGTATTCCATGGTGTATATATACCACATTTTCTTTATCTAGTCTACAACTGATTGACATCTAGATTGATTCCATGTCTTTGCTGTTGCTAATAGTGCTGCAATGAGCATATGCATGTATGTGTCTTTATGATAGAGCAATTTATATTCCTTTGGGTATATACCCAGTAATAAGATTGCTGGGTCAAATGATATTTCTGTTTTTAGGTCTTTGAGGAATTGCCTCACTGTCTTCCACAATAGTTGAACAAATTTATACTCCCACAACAAGTGTATGTGCTCCTTTTTCTCCACAACCTGGCTAGCATCTATTATTTCTTGACTTTTTAGTAATAATCATTCTGACTGGTGTGAAATGGTATCTCATTGTGGTTTTGATTTACATTTCTCTAATGATCCGTGATATTGACATTGAGCTTTTTTATATGATTGTTGGCTGCATATATGTCTTCTTTTGAAAAGTGTATTAGTCTGTTTTCACACTGCTGATAAAGACATATCCCAAACTGGGCAATTTACGAGAGAAAGTGGTTTAATGGACTTAGAGTTCCACACGGCTGGGGAAGCCTCACAATCATGGCAGAAGGTGAAACTCATGTTTCACATGGCAGCAGACAAGAGAAGAGAGCTTGTGTGGGGAAACTCCTCTTAATAAGACCATCAGATCTCATGAGACTTATTCACTACCATAAGAACAGCATGGGAAACACCTGCCCCCATGATTCAATTGCCTCCCACCATGTACCTCCCACCACCCATGGGAATTCAAGATGAGATTTGGGTAAGGACACAGCCAAGCCATATCAAAAAGTGACTGTTCCTGTCTGATAAACAACTTCAGCAAAGTCTCAGGATACAAAATCAAGGTGCAAAATCACTAGCACTCCTATACACCAAACACTCAAGCCAAAAGCAAATTGGGAATGTAATTTCATTCACAATTGCCACAAATAAATAAAATACCTACGAATAAAGCTAAACAGGGAGGTGAAATATCTATACATGGATAACTACAAAACACTGCTCAAAGAAATCAGAAATGACACAAAGAAATGGAAAAACATTTTATGCTCATGGACAGTAAGAATCGATATTGTTAAAATGGCCATAATTCTCAAAGCAATTTATAGATTTGATGCTGTTTCTATTAAACTACCAATGACATTCTTCACAGAACTAAAGAAAAAAGACAGTTTAAAATTCATATAGAACCAAAAATTGTCCAAATTGCCAAGGCAATCGTAAGCAAAAAGAATAAAGCTGGAAACATAATGCTGCCCAACTTTAAATTATACTGCAGGGCTACAGTAACGAAAACAGCATGATACTGGTAAACAAACAAACAAACAAAAAACTAGACACATCGATCAGTAAAACAGAATAGAGAACTCAAAAATAAGGCCACATACCTACAACTATCTG